>NC_000008.11:4291991-4594276 GCF_000001405.40 Homo sapiens
CCAGAGTGAGTTTGTTGCATAGATCCATTATTACCTAGTTACTTTAATAATGGAGGTTTGGACACTTGATCATTCAATGAAAACACCAAGGAGATATACCAGGGAACAGGAACAATGAAGACCCTGGCCATACCAACAACAAAGAAATATGAAAATGACCCAGGTGAGCCCGGTCATAGATTTCAGAAGGGATGGACTTATTTATTTGTATATGCTGCTTTTTCTTACTTTCCAAAGAATTTTGTTGTCGTCGTTGTTGTTGTTGTTTAGTTTTGTTTTGAGACAGAGTCTCGCTCTGTCGCCCAGGCTGGAGTGCAGTGTCGCGACCTGGGCTCACTGCAACCTCTGCCTCCGGGGTTCACGCCTTTCTCCTGCCTCAGCCTCCAGAGTACCTGGGACTACAGGTGCCCGCCACCACGCCCGGCTAATTTTTTGTGTTTTTAATACAGACGGAATTTCACCGTGTTAGTCAGAATGGTCTCGATCTGCTGACCTCGTAATCTGCCTGCCTTGGCCTCCCCGAGTGCTGGGATTACAGCCCAGGCGTGAGCCACCGTGCCCGCCCGAATTTTTTAACTGAATGGAATTTATAACAACCCACTATAAGATTAATACATGTAAACATGTTGATATTTTCTGTGCCTCAGTCTTGCATCATCAACATGTTTCTATACATGAAAATATTCATTAGAAAAAATGATTCAGTTTATTTTTTCTATGTTATAGTCTTAATATTAGGCCTCTAGTATCTTCATCATTGTTCAAACTGAATATTAAACACAATCTTCAGTAGTCCCAACCATGTATCTTATTACATAAAAGATTTACCTAAGAGTCAGGGTCCCTAAGAATAGAGATGGAATATTTAATGGGTTAATTTAAAAGGCTTTTTGTAAAGAGATAATTTGTTAGTTCTGCAAATTCATGGATAGTATTAACAGAAACCAACAAGGGACCCACAAAGCACTCCAGAGGCAAAAGACGTGAACAGTCTCTTTTCTTCAGGTGCAGAGGGGCAAGGGAGGGAAAGTGTGGTTATGGCTTGAGAAGGGGCTATTCCACCAGAGCTGCGTCTGGAGTAGAACCATGCACTGCACATGCGGAAACAGCAGGAGGGGGCTACCAGCATCGCCCTCTCAGTTTTGTCCCGCACCTGCCCTTTGTCCAGTATACTCTGAGGACTGAACCTCCCTGGCACAGAGAGAGGAAGAGAGCCCAATGATGCCGTCCTCAAGGCCAGACTCCAAGGGCACAGAGTCGTGGAGAGACACAACAAGGAAGCTTGAAGCAGCAAATGAAAATTGGCCAGCACAATGAGAAACTGACGATGCTGAAATTACTTGTGCAAATATTAATATCTTACTAGTAAGTCCAATCTAAATTTATTGAGCAACTCTTAAGCTCCTGCATTATTAACCAAAGCTACGGCTAAAAAGTGTTTTAAAAAAATTAATTACACTAATATGTGAAAATTATTATTTATATATCTAGCTCAGTATGCGTTTCTTTTTATACTTACTTTAAAAGAACACTAACCATGAAATAGACTTGTCACCCCTGTGCCTTATCTTCCAAATTAGGCACAATAAAAGAGCTCATCTCATCATGAACTAAGCAATACTGCAATCGTGTATTTTGACTGTAAGACACAGCAGTCTCTTATAAACCACCAATAAATAATAACAATCATATCTCATTACTTAGAATTGCATTCCATACTTTAAAAAAGATGCTTTAGACATATTAAAGCACAGATATTTTTGTCTTATATCAGTTTGGTACAAATAAAACAAGGAACATTGAAGCAAAATGAACATGCATTTCTAAGCCATTTTAACATTCAGTGTCCAAAGCTGTTCTACTAGTTTTTGACTCAGTGGTGAGACCAGATTTAAGGTTTGATAGAGGGATGTCCTATTAGTGTCTACTGTAGAGCTTTCCACACTTTTAAACACTTTCTACAAGTTCTAAAGCTGGTGCTTTTTGAACTTACCAAATAGTGTGTATAAAAAGTTTTAGGATAAGAATCAGGACTTCTGTTCTTTATTGCGTGGTTCTCAAGTGACTATTGCACCGAAATACTGCGAAGTTGAAGTTCTATATTCCTGTCACTGGAAAAAGTAATGTGGCAATGACACTGACGTCTGATTAACCCCGACCAGCAGCCACTGTAAGATGCCATCAGCAGCAACTACACCCCAATTTCAGGGACACCAAAATGCGGGAGAAACTGAACATCTCTGAATTGATAGCATATAGATCGTGTGACAAACAATCACCTATGAATAAAGGCTTCGGTGCTTCATATCCTTTTAATAAATAATACGTGCACTGACGGTTTTCAAAATAAACCCAAGATTCTAGAGACAGTATTCCAGAGAGTGCAAGATGTCACCGTTCTTTCTGATTGTACTTGAATAGCTAATGTTTATCAGACACTTCAATTAACATCGCAGGCAATGATAATGATCTAAATCACTGATCTCTGTTGTTTCATTTAACCTCAGGATAATGCCATGAGTTCCTCCACTTTGCAGATGAGCAAACACAAATCACTTGTCCATGGTGCCATGTTAGAGAATGAAGTGAAACCAGAAACCAGGTCTAAGGACTACAGACCCTGAACATTCCAGAACAACTTGATAGAAAGTTATATTCATGTTTCTTGGTATTTTACATTTTAAAAATATTCTAAGATGACCATCTATTTTAGCTTCTCTTCTCATATAATCTATTTTTTTCTTACTGTAATTAGATGACTTTCTAAATTTATTTGTAATAATCATGGGTAAAATAAAAACCTGGAAAAAAGTGCTTACTTTTCAACCCATGTGTAATTAGTAACTTTCCTAAAATAATTCCAGAAAACTTTGTCTTTGCCCTTTTAGTAGCTGTCAATGTGTATGGAACGAAAGCCTCAGGTAACCATGTGGTCCTATTCTCTCTTCTTTCAGGTAAAGTGCCAAGGATATTTTTCTTATATTTTGCCAAGTCACCTGATCTGAACCCAATCTAAGGTGTTAAGATTATATATACATATAATATATGTATATATTATACACATATAATCTTAAGATTACACACATATAATCTTAAGATTACACACATATAATCTTAAGATTACACACATATAATCTTAAGATTATATAATCTTAAGATTACGCACATATAATCTTAAGATTATATAATCTTAAGATTATGCACATATAATCTTAAGATTTTCTATATAATCTTAAGATTATATGCACATATAATCTTAAGATTTTCTATATAATCTTAAGATTATATGCACATATAATCTTAAGATTATCTATATAATCTTAAGATTATGCACATATAATCTTAAGATTATGCACATATAACCTTAAGATTATATATGTATCTTATTATACACATATAATCTTAAGATTATATAATCTTATTATACACATATAATCTTAAGATATATATAATCTTATTATACACATATAATCTTATTATACACATATAATCTTAAGATTAAATATATCTTATACACATATAATCTTATATATATTACATATATTATAAATATATAATCTTAAGATTATATGTCATCTTTTTAAGGGCTTATTAAGGGCTTAAGATTATATATAATCCTAAGATTATATATATATAAACATATATTCATAATATATAAAAATATAATCTTAAGATTACATATGTTATATTATACATGTTATATATGTTATATATTGTGTTAAAATTATATATATCTGTGTGTGTGTATATGTGTGTGTGTATATATATATATATATATATATATATATATATATATACACACACACATCTTGAGAGAAAATTTAAAGTTAATTCTCCCTTATGCAAATTTCAGATTTCTTCAACCATTATCCCAAACAAGTACAATGCTCTTGTCTTTTCTCCATTGCCTGCTTCACTAATTACTCCCATCTCAGGAACACAGCATGTCCCAGACTCACTCTGTAGAACATTTTCCTGAAAAAAACAAACAAAAACAAAAACCTAAAGACTTTATCTCCAACAACATCTTAAAAATGAAACTGTCTAATTGCAAAAAAGACTGAAGGAGCCCTTAAAATGATGTGCTCTCTGTTGTTTTTCTCTTTGCAAGGAGAGAAATCTTAATCAAAACCACAATAAGAAGCGAAAATGGAAGGTGTGGTCAAACTATGCTCAGGGTCTCCCTCCTGGCACCTTAGTCCTCAACTCATCTCCAGCTGGGTCCAGCTTAAAACCTTGATCAGTGATTAGAGCTGGAGGAGTTTATAGCACCAGAATTCAGAAGTGCCCAAGGCAGGAAGAATTATTTCGTCCCTGTGGTTATAAATTCTATAGTTCAGGGATTATGCACTATAAACTCATGTATATTTCAGGACCACATCCATTATTTCTAAACATAATAATGATTTAAAATAAAGGGTTATCACAAGAGTGTGAGATAGCATGGCATTTGGACTCATGGCCAGAGGTAAAATATTTAAATATTTTAAATAATTAATATCTTTTCCCAAAGAGAGGGTTTATCTATTTCTGATGTTAAGCATTATTCACTACTCATAATTCAGAGGATGGATGTATTTCTACATGCAAAAGGCAGGTACATTTACTTCATATTTTATAATAGTTTGTTATTTAGTTAATATTCACTATTAACTCGTATGTGGAGGTCCCTAGGCTTGGGTCCCTGAAAACACGAAAATAAGGGTTTTTTTTTTTTTTTTTTTCTCCAGGGCTTACACTCTATTGGGTATATTTCTACTGTATAATGATTTCTAAATAATAGCTTTATGCTGGTGAAAATGAATAGAAAATGTGATTATTGTATTCATCTGAAGATATCTGTGGAGGGCCTGCTATCTCCCAGACTTGTCTTAGACTCCCAATTTTTTTAAAAATGCTCATCTCATGGAGATTATATTCCTGTGCATGAGTGATGGACAATGGTACACAAATGTGAAAATATAAAAACCTGTAAGTCAGATGACAATAGTGCAAAGAAGTACAAAGACAGGAATAGGAAGTGCTGGGAAAGAGTAATGCTACATTTTTACGCCAATAAAAATGGTCGGATGGGTTAGATAGGTTGAAGAGCTTGGGGAGACTCTAGAGCATCGTAGGTGTAATACGTTTTAATCTTAATTGGCATAAAAATATAAAACACATAAAATAGTCATGAATATACTTTTACAATCTAGAAATGTATTTTTTTAAATCCCTGGAGAAACTGGGGACCAAACATTTAGAAATAATTAAATATAGAGCTTGAAATTTACCAAGGCTATATGAAGAAACAGCCTTGTATCTTACATAAGATACTGAGAGAAAACCTGTTTAATCCAAATCTAAAAAAACAAAACAAAACAAAAGATAAAAGATGCAGACGTTCAGCGTACTGTAATTCATTTTTATTGACTAAGAAGTGAATGTTAAACGGTATTAAGGAAAAACAGACATCAGTTGCTGGGCGTCCGCAAGCTAATACTTTATTCAGTTAACCAAAGTTACATTCAGGCCATTTTTGCTTCTATAGCTGTTAAACCCCTCACATATGATCAATTTATAATGCTAAATGTTGTTATTTTAATTTTAGATGTTTAAAATTCCTGTAAGGCTAAGATAGCCTGAAATTGAACTTGACCTTTCAAAAGTTCACACTAGGGTTTGGATTTTGACTACTTTCTGCTACTGTTTTAGCATTAACCCGGAGCCATCGGTGATCGCCTCTGTGTTGGAAGATCATTCAATGGCACCACTAACGATTAAGAACCAACATCCTGTGAGAGGTGATACATTTCAAAAGGATTTTCAGTGAATTATATAATTAAATTTGATTTCTGAATATGCCATTATATAAACATTGCTGGTGGTCCTGCACTTTAAAACAAGAAAATTTATCGAATGTTTTAAAAGTATATAATCAGAAAGGTTTTTATTAGCAAAGGAAAATAAAAGGCTAGGTGACGGATTACCTGAAGAGTGAATATGGTGAAGAGGTGCTAAAATGTAGCAAACGCTTGTTTCCCTTCAATAAATTGATTTTATATTGAACTCAAGCATCACTACCAGTACATGCTAGCGTCTCTCTGGTGAAAACCCAGGGTATAAAGGACCTGGAGAACATCCCAGGGCACTGGGGACATATTCAAAAATGGTATAGAAGAAAAGTTTAGAAAAACATAATTTTGAGGAATCTGCCTTAGTTAAATGAAGTTTCCAAAATAATGCCAATCTTTGCTTCCTGTTTCTGCAATTAAAACTAAAAACACATACATTAAAAGGTAAGAAGTTACAATAATAATGTTTGATTCCTTTACTGTTATTCTCAGTTGTCCTTTCATTCAAAAACGCTCCATGACATCAGTTTACTGTAATAGTTTTTATTTACTGTATTTGCTTTGAATCCAAGAATACCATACTAGACACTAGACTGTTATACAAAGTTGTGAATAATTCCCTATACAGGAAATTACTTAGTGAGTACAATGTATATTATTTGAGTAATGGATACCTTAAAAGCCCTGACTTGACCTATATACAATGTACACATGTAGCAAAATTGTACTTGTACCCAATGAATTTATGTAAATTTACAAATATTGATACACATATTTAATGTTAACCATATGCAAACGTTATAGAACATCACAATTTAGTTTTAATACAGTTCTAAGAAGTTATTTCATTTTCATTTACATCTTCAGGCTACTCTGATACTAAATCAAGTATTTTCTTCCAACTAGATGTTAAGAAATTAATGTTAAAGTGATATTTGTGCTTTTGAATAAATTTATTTTGAAGAATGTGTTTGTAAAATACATGTACCCTAGAACTTAAAGTATAATAAAAAATTATTTCTGGAAATACTGGTATAATTCTTTAATTAGACTTAAATGAGTAAATTTTACATCATATATATGTATATATACACACATAAATACATAAACACACAATACATATATATGTCATATATAATAGAACAATGAAAGTGTTGCTTTGCAGATCTACTGATGTTAAATTTGCCATTTAAAAAGCAGAATAAAAGAACTGTAGGAAATAAATATTCTCCTGTTAATCCTATTTCTTACTTATGATAATATAAGGAGGGAAGAAGGTGATAGAATACAGAAAACATTAAAAGATCTTGCCAAAACAGATCGTGCTTTTCTTCAAAAAAGAAACGTTGTAAGAAATTTATAGGAGAAAATATACTTTTGCCAGGTAATGTAAGTCATCAGAATAAAATAAGACACTGTAAATATTTAAATTTAAAACCGTCGGATAAGATAAAGTTTTTCTTCACCCCCATCACCCCCAGAGAACGCACTTTTTAAATAATTACTTCCAAGAGGGGGTTTTTACTTGACATATTGTAAGTGTCTGAAGTGATTGTAGATAACCAGTCGTCTCAACATGAGAGAGGTGATTTTCAGGATTCCTACAGTCTTTCAAAAAGCCACTAGTAATTGGTTCTTTAATTCAACAGATACTTACTCAATAGCCATCATGTGGTAGACACCTTGTAAGTGCTGAGTATATTGCAAAGAAAAATCAGTTTCTAGCTTCTCATAAAATTTAAAGTCTACATTCAGAAATATGCCCCATATTGGCCAATATTTTTGTATCATATCATATATCATACACTATCTTTCTTTTCTTTCTTTGAGATGGAGTCTCATTCTGTCGCCAGGCTGGATGCAGTGGCGATCTTGGCTCACTGCAACCCCTGACTCCCCATTTCAAGCGATTGTCATGCCTCAGCCTCCCGAGTAGCTGAGATTACAGGTACGTGCCACCACGCCCGCCTAATTTTTGTATTTTTAGTACAGATGGGTTTTCACCTTCTTGGCCAGGATGGTCTCGATCTCCTGACTTCATGATCTGCCCACCTCAGCCTCCCAAACTGCTAGGATTACAGGTATAAGCCACTGCGCCCGGCCCAGACACTATTTTTCAAGTTATAAATACTATTTGTTGATAATAGCTATTAGAATTTCTGTCCTTTGTAGAAAGCATAAATCTACAAGTTTGTATAAAGAGGCCACAAAGAGTGAGAGGAAGAACTTCTCATACATGTCAGAACATCTGGATTTAGGATTTGATTTGCCCATTTGCTAATTAGGTAACATCAGCTGAGTGCTTTTGACTGCATAGTTATCTTTCATAAAAACAACAACAAAACAGACAATTTCCTTTTTGCCTATCTCACAGAAGGTGTGTAATGTTCAGTTTTGATAATGTATAAAGTCGTTTGTAAACACAGAGCTTTCTGCATCTAACATATTTTCCTACACTTGGGCACAGATGGGGAAATATGAGGGGACCTCAAAAAGTTTGTGGAAAAATAATATTAAAAGGTAAAAATAAAATATATAAACTTTATTTCTCAATATATGCTCCATCAACCTCAAGACACTTTTGTAAGCGATGATGCCAGGCATTCAGTCCATCCCTAAAGAACTGAGTGTCCTTGGAATTTAACTACATAAATACAGTCTTCTTAACGTTATTAACTGAAGGAAATGTCCTTTACAGACTTTTTTTTACATTTTATTATTATTATGCTTTAAGTTTTAGGGTACATGTGCACAACGTGCGGGTTTGTTTCATATGTATACATGTGCCATGCTGGTGTGCTGCACCCATTAACTCGTCATTTAGCATTAGGTATATCTCCTAATGCTATCTCTCCACACTCTCCCAACCCCACAACAGTCCCCGGAGTGTGATGTTCCCCTTCCTGCGTCCACGTGTTCTGGTTGTTCAATTCCTCCCTATGGGTGAGAACATGCAGTGTTTGGTTTTTTGTCCTGGCAATAGTTTGCTGAGAATGATGGTTTCCAGTTTCATCCATGTCCCTACAAAGGACATGAACTCATCATTTTTTATGGCTACATAGTATTCCATGGTGTATATGTGCCACATTTTCTTAATCCAGACTATCGTTGTTGGACATTTAGGTTGGTTCCAAGTCTTTACTATTGTAAATAGTGCACTATAAACATAAGTGTGCATGTGTCTTTATAGCAGCATGATAAGATTAGGAAACAAAAAGAAGTCAGAAGGAGCCAAATCAGGACTGTAAAGTGGATGCCTAATGAGTTCCCATTGAAACTCTTGCAAAATTGCCCGTGTTTGAGGAGAGGAATGAGCAGGAGCATTGTTGTGATGGAAAAGAACGCTCTGGGGCAGCTCTCCTGGGTAGTGGTCTGCTAAACTTTTGGCTAGTTTGTCAAAACAATCTCATAATAAGCCAACATCATCATTCTTTGGCCCTCCACAAAGTCAACAAGCAAAATGCCTTGAGCATCCCAAAATACCAGTGCCATGACCTTTATACTCAACTGTTATGCTTTTGCTTTGACTGTACCACTTCCAGCCCTTGGTAGCCAATGCTTTGATTCTGTTGTGTCTCCAGGATGGTACTGGGAAAGATATGTTTTATCTCCTGTAACAACTCTTCAGAGACCAGAGTGGTCCAGGATCTTGATGCCACTTGCATAAGATCTCTATTGAAAGCTCTACTCTTGTTTGAAGCTGATCTGGGTGCAATGTTTTGGAATTCACCAAGTGGAAAGTCTGCTCAATTATTATTTTTTTGTCAAGATTGTATAAGCTGAACCAGTCATCATGTCTGTGGCACTGGCTGTTTTCTGCTGTTAACTTTCAGGCCTCTTCAATTAGGGCATGGACCAGATTATTATTTTTCTTGCAAATTGATGTGCATAGTCTGTTGCTGTGGGTTTCATCTTCACTATCATGTCCTGCCTCCTTAAACCTAGTTATCTAATTGTAAACTCTTGATTTTGCCAGGGGGGTTCATTGTCCCCATAAACTTTTCAGAAAGCATCGGTGATTTCACCATTCTTCTGCCCAAGCTTCACCATAAATTTGTTGTTCTCACTTCAAGTTTATTAGAATTTATGTTGCTTTGATAGGGGCTCTTTTCAAACTAATGCCTTATCCTTCTTAGTGCCTCAAACTAGATCCTGTTCAGATATGTTAGAACAAGTTAATATGAGTTTATTTTGGTACAAATATTTTTTGAAATCCCTAATTTTTTCATTAGAATTTTCCACAAACTTTATGAAGACCCCTTGTATAGTTCATCATGTTCATTATGTAGAAGCAAGCTATCTTGCTAACAAAAAAACAGTTTATGGACTTAAGGCCAATTGCCAGGTGGAACTTGAGGGGTACCTAATAAAAAACAAAGCTTTAAATAGATGCAATGAAGGCCCAAAAGAAAAATGTAGTGTTTTAGGTGATGGTCTGGGAAAATAGGTAAGAGATATCCTTGGAATGGTTTTCCTTAACTCATTAGCTAATAACTGTAAAAATAATAACAATAATAGTGATTCATAGTGATAATGTATCAAGGGGTTATACTATTCAGGCACTAGTTGAAAACCTTTATATATGTGATTACTTTCATCCCATAGTGAAGGTGGTTTTATCACACATATCGTGCAGACAAAACAGCAGTCTGTGAAAATGTAAGCTACTTGACCACAGTAGCGTGCTTGCATGTAGGAAGTCAGATTAAGAGACCGTCTTGAAAGTCAGGTTTCCGCCTCTCTCTCAACCCTATACGATAATGCACCGTAAGGGGATTCTCTCCTATGTTGTTGTGTTTTTCTCTGACACAAAGGTCAAAACTAATAGCTGATTAATGTTCAAAAGCATTCATCTCTACTAAACTGGTGTGTATGTGCCGTGTTTTCAACACTCTTTTCTTCTCATTAAGTCATTTAGTTTTTTACTGACCCCAACTGAGTCCAGGTAGAGTTGGCACCGTCAGCCCCTCTACAAGCCAGAGAGTGAAGTCACAGGGTCCTAGTGACCCTGTGTTTTCCAGGACTAGCAGGCAGGACCAGCAGTTTAAATGTTGGCCTCCATGCTGATTCATATTAACTCAAAAGACAGATTTTTTTTTTCTGGAAAATGCTGCTTCCCTTTATGCATGAAACTGTGACCAGAAGTTCAGCCCTCTGTATATCAAATAGACACAAAATCCAAGAAAATCAGGAATGGCACTTTTGTGTTTAGGGAAAACACATACAAGGAAGTAGGTATAAAAATGATTTTACACAGACAATTTTTGAGTAATTTAAAAGGAATTAAAATAAGGACATTATGATTTTCTCTAGGAACTAAAACTTCCCTCAAACATATAATAGGGCATGAATATTGTGGGCTTGCAACTGAGAATAACATCTGTTAACAGAGGCATCATCTATTTCAGATAAGTATTCTCTACTCTCATGAAATATAAAAGAAAACAAAACAAAAATAATTATTTTTACTTAGTTATAACCTGGCACTGACAAATGTATTAAAGGAAGCAAAAATTAGCATCTTCCATCACCAAAATCTTCAAATAATTTATTAATTTTTTATTCATTGTCTCATTTATATATTGGGCAGGAAGCTGTTTTTTTTTTTTTTTTTTTTTTTTTTTTTTTTTTGAGTTCTCTGTGCTGAGCTCATGTTGATTTTCAATCTCCTTACCATCTCTAGCACGTCTATATTCAAAGATTCTGTAAAAGGAAAATAAATTTTAAAAAATTTCTTCTCAGCAGCGTTGGTGACTGTGTGGCACCTTCTGGACATTGTCATATGAAGAGAGTTCTACCAGAGGTGACTGGGAAGTTTTTCACTTTTTTATTTTTTATTTATTTTTTTGAGATGTAGTCTTGCTCTCTTGCCCAGACTGGAGCTCACTGTCATTATCTTGGCTCACCCCAACCTCAGCCTCCTGGTTTCAAGCGATTCTCCTGCCTCAGCCTCCTGAGTAGCTGGGACTACAGGCACACTCCACTCTCCCCGGCTAATTGTTGTAGTTTTTAGTAGAGACAGGGTTTCACTATGTTGCCCAGGCTGGTCTCGAACTCCTGACCTTGTGATCTGCCTGCCTCAGCCTCTCAGTACTTTTCTAAAGAAAGGATAAGCTCCAGCTGCCACTTTTCCCTCTTCCTTTTGCCTCCTCCTGCCTAGAACCTGAACATGATGTCTAGGAAGCGTCCATAAAAGAACCAAGAAAGCAGTGATGAGAGAACCAGGGGATCACAAAGCCTCGATGAAACCCTTGAAATACCATTGTGTTGTCTTATAAAATTAACCACTGTTATTTAGGCTACTATTTGAATTTTCAAATAAAACAATTAGAAGGACATAAACCAATTCAAATTTGGGAGAATAAGCCAGTTTTGATGAAAAGAGATTTAAAGCTGTTTTATTCTAAATGTGAAGGGCTTTGCAGGCAAAGTCAAGGATTTTATATTTTATTAACGGGTAACATGTTCAATATAGAATATATAGAAGATATTTATTTTGTATGTCAAACTGATGTCTTAGATACATTCCATTTGATTATCAAAGTGAGCTCATGTTGTAAATAGAGAAATTATTACCATCTAAGAGCGACAGAAGGTGAATTTAAGTTCCAAAAGTTAAGTGACTTGCTGGAAGTCACCCAGATAGTACAGAGTCCCATCCTGACACAAACGTAAGCCTTACTGTTTCAGTGTCAGGACTGGGCCACCTGCTAGCTCATCGTGATAATCAATTGGGATGTGTTTAAAATTGCTTTGAAATGTCAAATCCTCTTTAATATTTCCTCATTTTATACAGATCAGATTCCCCTCACTGCTACTCATACCCAAATAATGCACCTATCAGCAAGGAAACATCTCCAGTTTGAAGATGATGCCCCTCCCTACAAGGAGAGCCAACTAAATCACTTGGTAAAAGAAAAGACCAAAAAATAAATATACATTACAATAAATTAGTAACTTCATCCTAAGCCATACCTTGGTGCAGGTCATTCAGAAAACCACTGAACTTTTGTCTTGAGACCCTATTTCACCTTAATCATTTCACAAAATATACTCTTAATCTATCAAAATATATATTAAGGTGTAACGATGAGATGATGAACAAGTACTCTTTTATCAGGCTGTGGTATTTGCTACACTAACGTCTGGATGGTAATGCCAATGCCTGTTCTTACAGGACCCACTACAAACACACAGTTCCCCACGTTAGAGTCCCTTTTCAACACAGGCACCTATTCGTTTTAGGGCACAGAATCACAACAGGTTCCATGCCTCCTGGATAAAATTTCAAAAATAATATTGCGGATACATGCATTGGTATCTATTTTGAAAGATAGTTTTTAACCCAATTACATCAAGTAACTTCACAAACACACTCCCCAACAGAGAAGGATGAAGTGCCAGCAAACTTTGAGGCTTAGCTAAATCGGCCATTTCCAATGCCTGGGAACTGAGCTGCATCAGCCTCCCGCTAGGAGAGAGTCAGGCCGCCACAAAGCCAGGCAGCAAGAGAAGTGAGACCCGAACTGGAATCTAAGGGGCTTGCAGGGATAGAGCAAGAGATTTGCTGAGGGTTCCATCAGCTTAAGTGAAAGGGATAATCGACTAAAAGTAAGGTAAGCCACTGAGCAGCTGGAATCACTGTAAAATTAATGTGCTTTTACAGGCACTGCTTTCCCTGAGGGCAGAGCGGTGTCACAGAACAACTTCCCAGTATTGCTGTTCTCTCTGGAATAACAGGAAAGAATGAAAAAGAGTAAAAAATTAACCTTTCAATACAGAATCCACGTAAGACCGTTTTAGCTGAAGGACTCAAAAAGGCATAACATCCTCAACCAGCAGAGAGTAAGTGCTTGCTCAAAATGTGTCCTCCTGCAAAGATGGAATGATCTCTTGCATGTACAGATGCCACACCAGCCGTAGACACTACTGATCTGTATTTTAAATTTCACTTCACAAAAGTGATTTGGGATTTCAAAAGCAGGAAAACAACCTCTCATACTGTAACTTGCCGATCTTGTATGGATCCCCTTCCAGTCTTTGCTTACGTGTGTATATGCAATTGTTCTCAAGCATCAGAATGTTTACCATTCTATAACCTTTATTTAATAAACTGTATTGCAGGGTAACTTTCATACTGATACATAGTGTGCCCAGACATTACCTTAATGGTTGTGCAATATTATACTCGGTGCATTTGCTGTAATTATATTAAGTATGCACATTACTGGACATTTTGATTTATGATTGTGAGAAATGTTATAATGAATCTTCTTTTGCTTTTTAAATAGTTGGTAATGAATAGTCTGTGTAGATTTTTAGAAGAAAGAGTACTGGTTTAAAACACGCTGAAGTTGTCTGCATTAAAACGCTAGTGTGCTCTTCAGAAAAGTTCTTCCAAAATATCACGACACTAACAATACGTGGTGGCACAAGTTGTAGAATGGCCCTTCCTGAATAGACACTAAATAATATATAACAGCCCAGCTCGATCCTTCCATCATCACCATTTTTACTCCTTTATGTGACTAATCAATGAGCCTCACTCTGATAATGCTGGATTAAAAAACCTACAGAACAAAAAAATACAGTATCATCGTGAAAGTTCAATTGATAAAAAATATTTTATCACCTCCATATTGTGAATGCCTCAGCAGGGTGTAAGATCTCATTTCTAGAACCACTGATATCCACTGCTCATCTTGAAGACAAAATTTTCTTCCTTATGCAAAAAAACAGCTCCCTGCCCATGGTGTATTAAGCATCCTGATGCTTTCCTTCTTGGCCTCTTCAATCTCATTCACACATCTGGATGTATCCATTGTCGATCACATGTAGGTGATTGTACAATTCACATGCTCTCCTCTTCCAAAACGTCCTCATATAGTGAGCAGCACCTCTAAATGAGTGCCCGACCGCAGCAGGGTAGTGTTCTGGTGCGAGTCCACAGATCAGCCCTTCTTTCTTCCATTCTCCATAGCACCAATCAATCCCTAACATCTCCAGATTTAAAAAAAATCTAATAATTTTTCAATCTCTTTTTGCAAAATCTGCAGTTATGCTTTCCTTACGCTAAAAATATACTTCAAAATCCTCAGTGTGGGATTCAGTATCTGTCGATCCTACCCCCAAGCATCTCTCAGATCGACTGTCTTTTCCCATCTGTCACCGCCCTGGTTCAGCCCCTCTTCGTCGCCTGCACCATGTCCACTGTGGGGTTTATGGTATCCTCATCACAACCCTGCTCCCACTATTGCCAATTTCAATTGTTTTATCTCTACAAGGCCGGCTGCCTCCTTGTCTCTGTACTGAGTTCCCATTTCTACTTCTCATCTTCAGCACAGGCTCCATTTAATACTGTATCAACCCCCTTCTACGGCTCATTATTTTTATAATACAGCTCATTTGTGAGTCTAACATATGCTAATCATGCACAGAGGGCTGTTGATATCTCTCACATATATATATTAATCCCCTAGCACAGGCATCACACATGTCCACATTGAGGCTGAAAATGAGTCAGAGCAATGGGAGAGGTGGTGGAGCACAGCTTGGCCTCCTGCACTCTTTTCTCCACCACAATTCTCGTATCACACCAAGTTGAGATGCTATCATCAACTTCTGAAAGCCCATGTTACATCCCCCAAGGATATTAACAGGAAATAAAACTTCACTACCCTGTTATGTCAACCATGCCTGGTCTGTTCAAGTAATAGCATATTTTAAAATGTTGCCTCTGCTTATCTGTGTTTACAGAGTCCAGCCTCTGTACCCACCCAACTTGTGAAATAAGCAAGCTTATCGAATTTTGCATCTCAAGGACGATGGGAAATGGGTTAAAATACAAATTTGTTGGTGACTTTGCAAACGAACAGCACGATGCTCTTGACCATGAGTGGGAATGAATACCTACATGGGCAACCAGAGAGTTTATCAAGGGTGGAATAAGGTCCAGAGTCAGTTTACCTCTCTACACTACAGTCTGAAAAATTATAATATGATGATTTAACTGTGGTGAAACTCAACAGAAATCTTCACTGAGCAAGAAGTGTTCAGTAGAGAGGAGGCAGCAGAGGCACGTTTTTAGCAAGAGGACCCCCGGATGCAAGGGTCTTCGGTGTAACAGAGGAGAGACACACCTGAAGAAATTACAGAGGCTCAAGGAGGCTGGGATGTAAACAGTGATGGTGGGCATACTACAGAGCAACGCCAGACATGGATCTGACTTTCAGCCTCAGTTACACACTTTGGTCTTTATTCGAACAGTGGCAGAAGTGGAGAGGGTGGCAAAGCAGGAAGATGTGTTTTACTTAGAGAAACAAGAGCGTTTCTTCGAATGTTCCTCAATATCTCTGTGAGTTAGGAGGTGAAGTCACTTGAGACTGTGTGGGATGTGTGTGGTATGCAGTCATGTATAGTTTTTTTTATGTGTGTGTGTGTCTGTTGTGTATAGTTGATGGTGTGTGTGAAGTTTGAAGTGTATGTGTGGGGTGGTGTATCTGGTGTGTATCGTTTGTGGTGCGTGTGCACTGTGTGTAGTGTGTGTTCTGTGCACAGTCTGTGGTGTATTCGTGCATGTGTGTGTGTGTTATGTGGAAAGTCTGATGATGGGAAAAAAGGTTTAGAAAAGGATGTGATCTTCAGCGAGGGCCAATGTGAAACACGGCAAAAGGCCATTTCAGTACTTCAGAGACCCTGCTGTGTTTAGCAGAGTTGGACGTTGTCTTCGATATATCTTCCTGTGCTCTTACAGGAAATGCTCCTTAGAATAATGGAGAGAATTTGTTAAGCCTGCTTTGGAAAACTAAGGATTCTTATTCCAAGAACAGTTTATAAGAGGCTTTACGCAAATATCTGGGTGCTTTTGGAGTTTAATTGCATTTGCATGATTTAGAGTAATTTATCTGAGATGTGTAAGACTGGCTGTTTGAGCGTGATGACTAAAGATTATTTACAAAACTAATTCACAGATGAGTTATTATGCTATTGTTTCCTTCATTTATGAAGCAATGACACCCCATATCAAAGGCATGTAATGATTATATTATAGCTATAAACACATGGTTTAAAATACTCAGAAAATATCAAAGGTCCATTTATTTCTCCTTTTTTAAAGACTCTCAAATACTCCCTGTAACCTTCTGACATAATGTTGAACTAATTCCTAAAACTAGGTGAGAAAATGCATAACAGCAAATGATTATTGATGTCATTCTTCACACCTATATTACTTTTTATTATTTTTTATGTTAGGTTATTTTTGTAGTCACTTGTTCTATCTAGTTTAATCAATGTCAGGGTGTACTTTGCACACACAGGCCAATTCAACAACTTTCTGAAGATGTGTGGAGATTCTGAAGGTTACTTTCAATTCCTAGGGTCAGTTTGATATTACCGTTAAGTGCAAGACCCATAATTTTAATTAATTCACACCAACTAATTATTCAGCTTCTTCAGATACAATATAATTGCACTGTCTATTTAGCATGTTATTTTATAAAATGAGATGAGAAGTTTTTTTAGGAAAAAAACTAATCTTTTGTTCTGTAGTCCCTTAGAGAAGACCCTCAAAAGCTTTGGAAATTTGAAAGAAATTAAATTCAAAATTTTTATAATTTTAATATTATGAAAGACGAGAAAAAATAAATATTAAATGCATTTTCTCTCATCAAATTTCTAAACTAAAAGGTAAATCCTGTAACACAGACAAAGTATAAATCATAGGCTCACATCAAGCAGCCAAACTCTCAGTTCATATGAAATTCCCTAATAGCACTCCCATTTTAGTACAACTCCCTTGGGAAGGGGCATACTGCTACTGAAATTAGACCGTATTTGAGCATATCACCTTACACATTTTTTTAGATTTTACTCTAGGGATTGTAACATACACAACACATACAAAATAACCTATCACAGTCTATTGATATTAACGTTTTACTAGATCAATGAAGCATAGAAACCTCACCTCCATATAGGTCCCTTCGCCCTTACTTCATTTTAAATATAGCTGTCTGAGTATTTTCTCTGCAGACACTGAGCATCACTTCAGAGGGTCTTACATGTGCTTCAACTATGAAATGTGATTTAAGAAGCTCATTAGAAACATGATAGTCGATTATAGTTACCCCTATTTTTACATAGTGCTTTATTTTCACACCAGACTAAGGAGTTTGGAAAACACGCTAAAAGGTATGAAAAGCCTTAGAAGACAGAGGGTAATGGAAAGATGAAGTATCAGGAATGCTAAGGTCTGCAATTATCACCTCTCAGAGATTCACTTATCTCCCATTCATCCCTGCTCCTAGTAACTGCTTCACGTTTCTAACACCCAGGTATTGCATCAGACCATAAAGAAACAATGGTAATCTCCTTTCCATCTAGTGGAGGATTCAGGAATTAGCAATTAACTTATCACACAGAAAAATATGAAGTTAGAACTGTTATCATGGCTGCTTAGAGCTGAAATTCTTATGGGTGGGTGTGGAAGGGAAAAGGCCTCCACACTGGAATGAATGGGTATCTTGGTCAAAGGGTTCACAGACAGTGTTTCTCACAGCCTACATGATGCCCAGTCATTTAAACATTTTGGTATTCAACAAAGATAAATTGTGCAGAAGTAGGAAGGATGAACAGCATGCGTTATCTTTTATCTGCTGTTTATTAATTTGAAACTTCTTTTCTTCCACATTAAATAAAATATCTTTGGACACAATAAAATCTCAATACTTGTATGACATTTACATTTTTGAAAGTTTTCATAGCTCTCGATGATGTTAAATCAACATGGTATGTTAGGAAAAATGAGTCAGACACATTTGACCGAGACTATAAAATTTAGGGGTGGCAAAACAAAGACACAACAACCATAGAACCTGCAAGACACGCAAGCATTGTATACCATGGAGAGAGTAGCTCCAGCATGGAGAGGGAGACTGTGTCCATATACAGCCTTACCAAAGGAAGAAATTCACATTAGATCTCACCTTTGCTTATTTCAGCAGCAAGACTATCTCAAAAGAAATGCCTTCTTCTCAAAAGAAAACTTACATGTGGCCAACAAGCATATGAAAAAAAGCTCAGTATCACTAATCATTAGAGAAATGCAAATCAAAACCTCAGTGAGATACTATCTCCTACCAGTCGGAATGGCTACTGAAAAGTACAAAGATAATAGAAAGTGGCAAGGATGTGGAGAAAAGGGAACACTTATACACCACTGGTGGGAGTGTAAATTAGTTCAACTACTGTGGAAAGCAATGTGGCATATCTTCAAAGAGCTAGAAGCTGAACTGCCACTCAACCCAGCAATACCGTGACTGGCTGTAAGCCCAGTGGAATATAAATCATTCCACCATAAAGACACATGCACGTGAATGTTCATTATAGCACCGTTCACAACAGCAAAGGCACGGAATCAACCTAAATGTCCATCAATGACAGATTAGATAAAGAAAATGTGGCACATGTACACCATGGAATACTATGCAGCCATAAAAAGGAATGCGATCAAGTCCTTTGCAGCAACATGGATGGAGCTGGAGGCCATTATTCTTGGCAAACTAATGCAGGAACAGAAAACCAAATACATGTTTCACTTATGAGTGGAATCTAAGTCTGGACATCGTGGCTCACAGCTGTAATCCCAGCATTTCAGAAGGCCAAGTTGGGCAGATCACCTGAGATCAGGAGTTCGAGACCAGCCTGACCAATACGGTGAAACCCTGTCTCTACTAAAAATATAAAACTGAGCCAGGTGTGGTTGTGGGCGCCTGTAGTCCCAGCTACTTGGGAAGCTTAGACAGGAGAATTGCTTGAACCTGGGAGGCAGAGGCTGCAGTGAGCCGAGATTGTGCCACAGCACTCCAGCCTGGGCAACAAAGCAAGACTCAGTCTCAAAAAAAAAAAAAAAAAAGTAGAATCTAAATTATGAGAGTTCATAGAGGGGAACACATAGAGGGGAACAACACACACTAGGGCCTAGTGGATGGTGGAGAGTGCGAAGGAGAGGAGCGGAAAAGATCACTGTTAGGTACTGGGTATAATACCTGGGTGATCAAATAATACATGCAACGAACCCCCATGACACTTATTTACCTGTGTAACAAACCTTCACTTGTATCCCTAAACCTGAAACTTAGAAAACAAAATAAAAATTATTCAGCATATAAAAAAGAAATGCATTGCTATGAAATTATTATAGTGTGTTGAAATCATTGTCATTTCTAGCTAGTAAAGAAATACGTAGAATGTGTGTCAATTTCCAGGAGTTAAAAAAGTTATCAATACCCCCCTTTTAAAAATCAAAATATATTATCTTTACACACGCTTCCTACGTGCATTTAGTCAGAAGACACAATGAACATACACACTATCTATATGCATGTGTAGAATGCATAGATAGCGTAACTGATCATATTGCAATCCTAATTTATTGGCAAACTTTAGCATTGATGTATACTCATATAGGTATTTTAACACACATGATCATACCTACTTTTTTAAAAGCAATTTAAACTCCAAAATAAGCTAATTACTTTTAATGGAACAAATATATATATATATATACATACATATATATGCGTGTATATATATGCGCGTATATATATATGCGTATATATATACGTATATATATGCGCGTATATATATATATACACATATAGAACTCTATGTTTCCAGTTTTATTATCAATGTTACTTATTGAGAATGATGAAATTGAAAGGGCTCACAGTCGTTCTATTTATGAGCAACAGATGTATTAAAGTTGTTGGCCAGGCACAGTGTCTCACGCCTGTAATCCCAACACTTTGGGAGGCCGAGGTGAGTGGATCACCTGAGGTCAGGAGTTTGAGACCAGCCTGGCCAACCTGACGAAACCCCATTTCTACTAACGAAAAAATGAGCCAGGCGTGGTGGCAGATACCTGTAATCCCAGCTACTCCGGAGGCTGAAGCAGGATAATTGCTTGAACCAGGGTGGTGGAGGTTGCAGTTAGCTGAGATCGCGCCAGGCAAGGCGGTAAGAGTGAAACCCCATCTCAAAAACATTAAAAAACAAAAAGCTTTCATCACACGTGGCAAAAACAATAACACTGATTGGCATAAATAATTTGGAAGCCCAGAGGAAGAGCCCATAATTTGACCTGCAAGGTAAGTTTTGCGGGGAAATGAAGATGGGGAGGTAGAATTTAGAGAATGATTCACATAAATTTCTATAGAATAAACTACAAATGAATATAGTCCCATGATAGCCATAGAGCTAATATAGAAACACAACATTCTTATGGTCCCTTATTGGTCCCTTAGACAGTGAGCAAGCTGGAACTGGTCTTTAATTTCTAATCTACTAAATGTACATTTTTTAAACCTAGGGAATAATAACAGGAAAAGCTTAACAACCCTGAAAAAACCTAGTTGGCTAAATTTTCAGTCACTTTCCTCTAGTGCCCCAGGAAGAGAATGCGAAGAATCTGGTTAATAGCTAGCTGAGTCCCTAGAGAGGGAGGAATCCATCATGGGGGTAGCAGACCATCATTGTCACTATGCGTGACACACACTCTGCTTTTGAGAATGCGTTTAGTGTGAAGATGCCTGACGGGACCCCTGTGACATTTAATTCTCCTCTGAAAATGTTAGCAATGCAGGAACCCGAAGAGCTCCCAAAGGTCTTACATGTCAAAATGAAAAAAAAAAAAAAAATCACGCGTAGGTCACATCAGGAGGAAATACGTGTTATGGGAGGGAAAGAAGAATGTTGGAATTAACTGTCAATGTGGACTGTCTGTTTTAAACATGCAGATGCCATTTAAACATCAACACATGTAAATTCACTTTAGAGAGGGAAACCAGGAGCTCTGAAAGTTTCAGACATTTACTCTAAGGTCATATGACTTAAAAAAAGCAGAACTAGGCCGGGCACAGTGGCTCACACCTGTAATTCCAGCGTTTTGGGAGGCCAAGGCAGGCGGATCAAAAGGTCAGGAGTTCGAGACTAGCCTGACCAATATGGTGAAACCTCATCTCTACTAAAAATACAAAAATTAGCTAGGCATGGTGGTGCACACCTGTAATCCCAGCTACTTGGGAGGCTGAGTCAGGAGAGTCACTTGAACCTGGGAGGCAGAGGTTGCAGCGAGCCGAGACTGCGCCCCTGCACTCCAGCCTGGGCAACAAAGTGAGAATCCGTCTCAAAATAATAATAATAATAATAATGATAATAATAATAATAATTCCAGTTAAACTTGCTTTCTTTCTGTGTCCTGGAGATGGGGGATTCAACACTGATACCACCATGTATCCGACATGCAGAGACTGTCAACACATCCGAAGTCTAAAGGCTTAAAAGCATCTCATTCCTTGGTTCCCTCATTATTTTCAAGACTGCAGTCACGTTAATAGTTAAGTCACAACACAATGCCACATGGAATACAACAGCACAAACTCTTAGTTACAATCGACAAAGTACATAGGATTAAAGAAGAAGAAAATACATTCACTAGCCCAACAGCCAGTGCCTCCACCTGCCATAGAACATTTCCTACATATTTCTGTCAGGGCCAGAGTTCACAGGCAAACTAACAGAAATAAGTGTTCTATTTCAGGAAGCAGTATGGGGTGTTTTAAAATATAAGCCAATTTCAATTGCATCCGTTCCTTGAATACCTTTCTAAGCAGTCTGGACTTTGCTAATGCCTTGGGATTTCTCCCGAAATACTAAAGATGATTCTAAACTCCAGTCCACAATCACTTTTACTTATGCTACTGGTTGTATTACATTTTCACACACACACACACACACACACAAAAGCAATGTAATGTACTATTACATTACCATTTGTGAGTTAAGTGTTAGGTCAAAATGCCTTTCAAGTTTTTATGTGTTCTTACGTACACACATACATCCTGTTTTCTCATTTACACATCTGACCCATGTCTTCTAATGATTTATCCTCAGAAAAGATTCAGCATTTATGAATAAAGACCACAGGAAAAGGGCAAAGGATTTTGTAAGAGGAGGGAGCTGCGACAAGCTGGGTGTTAGAAAACGCTTCCTGTTGGAGTGAAGAACATAATTGGGCTCCTAAAAACACAGAGATTATACCACAGGAAAAGTGGGGTTGACATTCTACATGGTGGGAGGAGGTTTCACCTTCCCACATGGCTAATAGTACTGACAGCCCCAGCCTGAGAAAAGAGGTCCCTCTTCTAATCATGACTGCGTTGGCTTCCCACTGCCCCGACCATTTGAATGGGCATCTCGAGGGAGGGAAGAGGACAGGGCTTCTTACACCATCGCAAGAGCACCACTCATTCTCTGCCCTCATCCACACCTACCGGAGACAGATGACACTTTCTGCCCAGCTTCCACACCTACCAGAGGTGGCACTTTCTGCTCAAAGGAAAGCCCAGCTCTGGCTTGAAGACCAGAGTGAGGTAGGGTTTATGAAAACTGAGACAGTATGCGAGGAGACCCTTTTACCCTAAGGTCCACAGCGTCTTCTAGCTGCTGTTGCTGCACTGTGAGCCCCAGGTGGCAGGTACCAGCCTGCCTCATTCACTAATATGTCCCCAAGCAAGGGATGAGTGGCCCATGTTCAGCAAATATTTGTAAAATAAATCAGTGAATGCAAAAAAAATATTCCAAGGCCTGACTCAAGATAAAGGATAAATAAAAAGTGAACCAATAAAGTAGAAAATTAGATTTCTAGAAATTAACTAAAAATCACACAGTGCTTAAGGAGAACCAATCTTCCATCCAGAACTTTGCCAGATATTATGAATAAAGTAAACTTGGTTTCCAAAGATAAAATGATTTTATTATAGAATCAAGGTTTACATCAGCATAAATATGATGATTATAAAATAGCCATTGAAGTCATATTTGTAGGTATAGATTGAGCTGTGCAAAAAAGAAACTGAATGAAAGCAACTAGCTGGTCATTTCATTTCAAAACATATTTTGCATAAAGTAATTCAAACTTTTTTTCTTTATTCTTCAGAAGCGTTTTCAAAAATTTGTTTCATATTATATTCTCAGTCTTCTTAGTAAAATTTTAAAAACAGGTTTTATAAAGCTAAAGATGCACTCAAATGTACAAAATGAAATATAACCTTCTCTTAACTCCTAAATAAAGAACGGGAAATTTTGTGAATGTCATCTTTTATTCTTTTTTCTTTCCTTTAAATATTCAGGCATTATTGAAATTTGAAAATATCCCACTGAGAAATATATGAATCCTTGAGTAGAAAATAAAATGGGTTATTAAAAGCCAACCACTCATTATTGTTAACCCTCTTAACCATTCAAAAACCTTCAACAATCCAAATACTCCCTTTCAATTATGTAGATTAGCTAAATTTCAAGAGAGCAGGACCCCATATTCTAAAATTTTATGATTTTCTAATGGTCTTCCATTTGTAGTGATTTTTCATCCTCGAATCTGAATTTGTTGTGATCTGTAAGATATCTCAAGGAATGCTGCAGAGAAAATAATCTGCATATTTTATTCCAAGCGGTTTCTTAGGTTATGGTCTTATACTCTGGGCTGCCACAGACCTCTGTTAATTCTTGGACTTACCAAGACAATTTCTTCATATATTAGGTTGATGTGAAATAACTGTGGTTTTCGCCATTACTTTCGATGCTGAAAACCTCAACGATTTTTGCACCAACCTATACAAATAGAACTATTATTCCATAATAGATTTCTGGTAAAATAATTATATATAATTAATAACTTTCCACTAATATTCCATCGAGTCCTAAGACTTGGTGTAGACATCAGAGACACCCGTGACAGAAGGTGAACGACAATGGGGTACACTGTGTCAAGATGAAGGACTCAAATGCAAACTAAGGGGGGGGCTTCCTTTATGTGTTTCAAAATAATGGGATTTTCAGAACGATAGTTAAATAAGAAAGTGGTCGAACGCCCCCAAAACCCTTTTCAAATCCAGAAGTAAATCTATATTGTGCTTCCCTCAAAGTCAGCACTCGGTAAACGCAAAATAATTGGTAGCTGCTTCTATTAGTGATGTTTTGTGGTTATACTCCAAATCTTGGGGTGGGGGAATCTTCAAAGGAATAGAAAAGCCAGGTACTGAATGAAAATATGCCACATGTCAGATTCATACGAAAACTCAAGAGTAAATACAATCGACTCTTATTGAGCATGCCAATACACTGTTGGGGCAAAAAACTACACTTGTAAACGGCACTGAAAACATACAAGCCCTGTGGAATTAATCAGCTACTAGTGTTTATCACAGGCAAGAGGTTTCCAACTGGCCAAGCACATCATCATCATCTAAGGTTGAATAATAATCCCCAAATCCCTTGTAAAGTTTTACAGTTTATAAAGCAGCTCAATGGGTTATATTTTATTTACATAACAATCTGGTAAGGTAGGCAGGGAATTTTTCTTTTTTTTACTATGTATGATTTTAAAAGAAAGCTGAAAGCACTGGTGTGATTTGTATAAATTTCCTGCTTGCTAACGTGGGGTGCAGTGAAATTAGACTCCCACGTCTGTGTTATAAGCTGTGGCTCTTTCATTCTACCCTGCTGTAAAACTCAAATGGTTACAAAACCAGTTAGTGTATCTCTGTTGTCATATAATGTAACAGATGTCTATACGCTGCCAGTGTAAGGCATGTACATGCACAATCACTATGCCTGCTAAGGTAAGTGACTTTTCTTGGCTGTTTCTTCATTTTCCAGAGATAGATTTAAAGTGTCCAAGTTAAGTGTCAGTACTCAAGAGAGAGAGAGGAGAGAGGGGAGAGAGAGAGAAAGAGAGAGAGAGAGAGACAATTTTATTTACTGACAAGCAGGAAGTTTAAATCAATAGTTCTTTATAGACTTAGAAGTGAGGTAACATAAAAGAGAAGCGATAGCTCAGCTGAGTACATGTCTGTACCATTTAGGTTACTTCCACACTGCCCCAGAAGTTTTCTTTTATATAGTAAAGTGCCTGATACATTGTAGGCATTCAGTAATTATTTGTTTAATGTATTTTTGACCAAGTTAAACCGAATTTTGGCAGGATGAAAATATGTTCTGTCTTTCAGATGTGTTGGAAAGGAGAACAAAATGTCAAGAATGATGTAATATGTTGCCGTTCCGAATTTAAGGTATTTGGTATTTTATAATAGTTATTGAATAAATATTTGGATATACAATTAGAATCCAGGAGTAATTCTATTAGCAATATATAAAATTGTGCGTTCGTTTTTTCTCACGTAAGTGTGACATTTAGTTTAGCCTGTCTGTAAAGCTGTACCCATTCCAAAATTTTATGCAACTACATTGTTATTTATGAAATAATATGAACATTCTAATATTGTTACTATCCTTCTATGGGTTTACATGTGAATGATAATTATTACAACTATTAGAACTTTTTTGTCACTGTAGAAAGAAATGACACTTGGTAACATTTTTCCTTAATTAAAGTTTTTACTTTCTAATCTTTGCAGACAAAATCTAAAATCTTTACCATTAGGTCATCCATCCCTCCTCTCTCTTTTTATGCACACATGTGCACACTCTCGTACACATCTCTATTTGCGCATTTTAGTTTCTGTGTGTGTGAGAAAGAGTAATATTGTGAAAATTACATTGAGTTAAAAGGTCATTAGCAAGTAATGAAACAAAGCTTGCATTCAGGACCTACTCAACTGGCGAGAAAACTTGAGTAAGTACTGATTAATAAAGTTACGTTAACAAGAGCTTTTACACTAAAAAGAATAAAAAACATGTTGATTGAAATGTTTACCCTTATTGAATTAGTAATTAAAAGTGACACACCTTCTAAATTTAAGACGTCACTGATTGTTTTTGATATCACTGATTTTTAACTCAAAGGCTTAATATTATTTTAAAATCTCAAAAAAAAAAAAAAGCCACTCTCTGTACTGGTTGTACAGATCAACCAATAGATACCATATATTGGCATTGTATTTACAAGCAAGTTAATTTTAAACTATTTGAAAGCTAACATCCTCCCATAAATCATAAAGCATCTTACAAGATAGATAACATCAGAGATCTGTCCTAAATGAACGTACTTTCTGAAACTTTAGTCAGAAGTGGGTTTTTAATTTTACTCTCTTTATTAAAAACAAAATGAAAGCACAATAATGACAATCTATCATCTTCATATTAAACAGCTTGAGGCCTTAAGTCTAACAAAGCGGCTTGAAGGTACAAACTCCTTGTTTGACCAAATAAACATCTTTTACTTCATTAGTAGTCCTCACATATACATGCACATAGTAACAAAGTAAGGAGGATTTTAAAAGCAGATTAAATCAAAATTGGGAAAATACCTGAAAATTTAAACTGTTAGTCAATTTCCCCCAGTAATTCCAATTACAGATTTTGATGAAAAGTGACCCTAAATCCTGACAGTCATTTTTCCCTTTTGCTTTCCTTCAATTTATCTTAGTAATGTCCTTTCCTTGCTTTTAAACAGTTTCTTCTAAATGAATTAAAAAGTCTTAGCATATTATGATTTTCCTCCTTTCCTTTTGCTGAATGTTTCTTTGAAATACTGAGCCTCTGGGGCCCATAATCGATACGTGAGCCCTAACCAATATACCTACACTTCTTTCCAAAATCCAAATAATAGCTACTCCTTCTTAAGGCTTTGCTAGGATAGCAGGGACCAGATTTACTCTCAGAGCAGAAAATAAACAAACAAACAAACAAAGTCACAGAAATAAAGGAAACATTAATTGTTGGCTGTTGAATAACAGGAAATACAGAGTGGTGATTCCTGAGAGAAGAAAACAAAAGGGTGAATTACTTACCCAGTTCACTGCCTGGAAAGAGAGGCCAGGGAACAGAGAAGGGAAGCAATCCAAGCAGAATTTGGCAGTTCTTGGATTAGAGGAAAAAGAACTGAGACTTGCCGGGGGGCCAAAGGCTGCTAGAGTTGCCGGGCAAAATACCAGAGAGAGAAGAGAGCTTCACAAGAGATGTGTAGAGGACCCTCGGGGTCTTCAGCTGAGAGCTCACCTGTATATTATGCAGGTAACAGAGGTACCCAAGGCTGAGCTCAGGCTACAGAAAGATCCACCGGAAAGCAGTAGGGAGTCATCTTCAGAGCTTGCACAAGGCCAATGTTTGGATTTTTACAGGCAGAGTGGAAAAATATCATAAAATAGGAGTATTGGGTTAAGTACTCAAAGTACCACCTCAACAATGAAAAAAATGAGTAGTAAACAAAAGACTTCGTTGGTTTTACCCAACAAACATTACATGTTCAAAAAAATCCAACCCTTTGCAAGTAATTTAACTGTGTAACAGAACAAAGCACAAAACTTTATTTAGAGAAATGCAAAAATATCCAGCACTTAACAAGGTAAAATGTGTGATATCTCGCATCTAAGCAAAAATTACCAGGCATGAAAAGAAACAGGAAAATAAGACCCACAACAAGTAGGAAAATAAAATGAATACAAGAGTGTTCACCTTATAATACCTTCAGGCTATTTGTTTTCCTTCCACAAGTCATCACACAAATAAACCTTTTTTATTATTATTATACTTTAAGTTGTGAGGGTACATGTGTAGAATGTGCAGGTTTGTGACATAGGTAGACACGTGCCATGATGGTTTTCTGCACCTATCAACCTGCGATCTACATTAGATATTTTTCCTAATGCTATTCCTCCCCTAGACCCCCACCCCCCAACAGGCCCCAGTGGGTGATGTTCCCCTCCCTGTGTCCATGTGTTCTCTTTGTTCAACTCCCACTTATGAGTGAGAACATGCGGTGTTTGGCTTTCTGTTCTTGTGTTACTTTGCTGAGAATGATGGTTTACAGCTTCATCGATGTCCTGCAAAGGACATGAACTCATCCTTTTTTATGGCTGCATAGTATTCCATGGTGTGTATGTGCCACATTTTATTTACCCAGTCTATCATTGACGGGCATTTGGATTGGTGATTCCTCAAGGATCTAGAACTAGACCTACCATTTGACCCAACAATCCCATTACTATAACCCAAAGGATTATAAATCATTCTACTATAAAGACACAAACACACTTATGTTTGTTTTGTTTTTCACTTATAGTATCTTCTTCTTTGTATCCTCTCCTCCCAGTGTGAGGTCCTAGCCACTCTGCCAGGTCCAGTTTCAGCATTGCCTCCTTATACCAGTTTCTCTGTAAATTATTTATTTCCCATACACATTCATATTTTCACATTTTGTTTTACACACAGATCTCTTATGAAGTCTTGTCATACGCTTATATTGAGTTTTTGTCTAGACTCTAGTCTAAATCAATCAAAGGCAGGAAGAGTGTCAAACCTATTTTTTATCCTGTCACCTCGCACAGTGATCAAAGTGTAGGGTTCAACATGTGTGTCCAGTGCATGAACACGTTCATGAGGCGTGCCTACAGCTAGTCCCTGTGGCCCACTGATCATCCTCGGTGTGTTGGTATGTTCAGAGCTGACCCAGTCTCTTGCCTATTGTTTCCTCCTGAAATGGCCATACGTCTTCTCTCCTCTCCCGCGCTGGCAGTTAAAGCATAAGAACGGAGCAATCAGAAGAGTTTTTTTCATCCCAAACCTGCTGCTCCCACTTATTGACTTGTGACCTTGGGAATCTTACCTTATCACTCTCTTAATTCCTCAGTGATGCAAGTTAGACAAACAAACCCACAGCAGAGGGATGTGTTAAGGATTAAAGGGATGAGTATCTGGTATATCACAGATATAACAGACAATAAATGGTGTGAGTATCTGGTATATAACAGGCACCAAATACCTTTTCCTCCCCTTTCTGCTCTACCTCTGCAAAGTTTAATAGTGGTAAAGATAAAAGAGCTGTTCAACATTCCTAAGATAGTGATAGGAATCAATGTCTTTGTTGATTAAAGTTTCCAAATTATTACTATACGATTAAGAGTACTTTCAAAAAGGATGCTTTGAAAATTTACAATTTTTTTTCTAAATTTACAAAGTACTAAATATCTTTTTTGGTAGTGTAGTTACACTACTTGACACGTAATTCATTCAGAAGAAATGAATAAATAATATATCATCATTGTGATTTATTAGACTTTTGCCTTTTATTACAGTATATTTTTATTTCTGCATTTTTTCACATTATCACTATGAAATTACCAGGGTCATAGACATTGTTAATTATCTTCAAGAAGAAAATCAAAAAAGCTATTCCATTAATTTAGTTCATATTTTAAATGCCTAATTCACAGATACTTTTCATCATAGACTGAAATGAACTCTTTAATTACATAAATACTTAATATAAAATATTGGATCATTTTATCCTCCGATTTCTTTACATTTGAAATAACATTGCTAAAAGTTTCCTATTTTAACAATTTCCTTTCACTCTATGGTTCCATATAGATAATTCACATGTAATTTTATTTGAAAACATACTGTATTTAAAATAGTTTAAACATAAGTGAGACCTGAATTCAATTTCATGTTATCTGCATATTTGAAGAGAGTACTTTTTTTTGCAACAATCTGAGCACTGGAGAGAGTTTAAAGTGGAATTAGAATTCCCCCAGTTGGCAAAAGCATCTCACCTATTAGCAAGGTGACTACATATGGCAGAATATTCTATCATAAGAGTAGGAAAAACCCATAGCTCTTAGGGATTAAAAGAGTGAAAGCTGTATGCAGTTGTGGGTTCAGGGAAGGCTGTATAAAAACATAACATTTGAGGTAGGCCCTGAAGAGAGTAAGTAAGATTTTGATGAAGGAAAATTTCAACATAAAAGACATGTTGTAGAAGCAGAAAAATGCTGGACATATTTGAGAAAAATCTAAGAATAATCACTGTCTACAGAATATTGCTTATTTTCAAAGAGATGGTGACAAGGTTGAAAATGCAGTAGGGGCCAGGCACGGGGCTCGTGCCTGTAATACCAGCACTTTGGAAGGCAGAGGTAGGCGGATCACTTGACTTCAGGAGTACAAGACCAGCCTGGCCAACATGGTGAAACCCCAACTCTCCTACAAACACACAAAAATTAGCCAGGCTTTTGTAGTCCCAGCTACTCAGGAGGCTGAGGCAGGAGAATCGCTTGAACCCTGGAGGTGGAGGTTGCAGTGAGCCTAGATCGTGCCCCTGCAACCCAGCCTGGGTGACAGAGCGAGACTCCGTCTCAAAAAACTACACTAAAATATAAAATAAAATAAAATGCAGCAGGAATCTGAGAATAGAAAGATTTTGACCAGCCTACAAATAGAGAGTTAAGCAGCGAAGGAATGGAAAAATCATATGATTTTAATGAGACATTAATTGGTGGTTCCAAAGTTGTTTCCTCATTTGTACAATGACAAGCTTTGGTTATACAATTCTAATTTCCAGTTCTAAACTCCTATGCAGACCCATGTGATTGTAAGAGAAGTTAGGCATTATGTATAAGCAATTTTGCTTAAACGGAAGTTCTGTAGCAGGTTCAACAGACTTATTTCACACAGTCTTACTCTATATAGTACTTCAACCCCTAAAATTCATGAAAAGTGAGAAATATAAACTTATGTTCTTTCCTGTACAGCATGGCCTTCCTAATTTCACAGCCTTGTTCCATGTCTTCTTCACAGGTCACCCCATTTGATTCAAAGTAACCATTCACAACAAACCATACATAATGGGACTAGGGCTTTCTCTGAAACCTGTTATCAGAAATGTTGCCTGGCATAAGGATCCTGACCAGTGTGGGTGATCTATATTGGGTCATATATCTGCTTTCCAAGGTGTTTGAGTGGCTGATACCCAAAGTCAACAGTGCGACAGAAACCAGAAGACATAAGGAGAAAAAACAAATAAGGGGCAGTGGACTCTACAAACAAGAATTATATAGGAAATGTATAAAATAGAAGGAAGCCGAGAGGGTATGATTTGGGTATTTCACATCCGCTCACTCAAATATCCCCCCCTTCCCCTGGCCAGACCTGCCTATCTTGACTTATTGAACCATAAAGGATGGGCAGCTCCTAATAACCTCCTCCAGGTGCCTTGTACTGAGAGTTTAGCTTAAGGCAACTTCTATGAAGAAACTCCACATTTTGAGTCTTGGAGTTCTGAGCCTGGGGGTGGCAGGTGTCCCAGCAACAGGCATTCAGACTACTGGGCTGTCAGTGCAGCCTGCTGCCTCAAGGACTTCACTGTGATCCTGGGAATGGCAGGCACAGCCACACCCTTAGCAGGCCAGTTCCTCTGTGTAGTTCAAATTTACCCGAGGCCAAGCTTAGATTTTACACCTTTTACCTTCCCAATGACATCACCTAAAAATCTCCTGCCTTAACTGCTGCTGTGCAATTATCAATGCTGACAAACAGTGGAAATAGTATAAAAAATATAGAACAAAGTAAACTGTGTCATCGGAATGTATGATGCATCTGCAGAGATTTCCCTACACCAAGAATGTGAGTTCTGAGACCTTTTCCTCTTCCTCATCACTAACTGCGTATTCCATTAACTAAACAGCAACCTCGAAAGAAATCAATACTCGGAAGGTCCTGTAGTAGCAGCCATTCCATGGATGGGACACCAGAGGTGGGGCAGGAGCAAGGAGGGGTTCCTCACCCTGGCAGGAAAGCTAGAAGCCTAGCCTTTGTCAGTGAACACAGCAAACCAAGCTTCTTTTCTGAAATCTTCTTGGAAGCAGATGAAGTGCACACAAAAGAGGGTTCTTCTCCACCCCCAGGAGGTGCATTCTGGTGGCCAATGCCAGGGAATAATTTCAAAGGACTGATAAACCTACTAGGAACAAGACAGGTCAGTGGCCATTTATGACCTCCCATACAGAAGAAAACAAACAAACACTGCTCCTGGAAGATCCAGCTCAGAGGATATAAGGGCAAAATCCAATTTGCCCTGTTTTCCATAAGGTGTTGTTATATATGGATGAAGGGTTTCAGTTTATTTTGTTTCAGCCCCATAAACAAACATCGAAAGTGTGTTTACCTAGCGCCTGCTTCCCATGTCTTGCTAGAGAACATAAGCAAGACAAAGAAGAGGAGGGACTCCCATCCCAGCACACCTCAGGGTCCTGGATCCTCAAGGCACTCTGAGTCCTGAGTTGATTCTAGGTATGGGGCCTCTTCACGGGAAGGAGGCAATTGTATTTGGAAAGGATATCATTATATCACTGTTGACACATCATTGCATTCCTGGTGTGGTCACTCATTGAGTGAGTGCTGCACTGTGGCTCCTTAAAATGGCTTGTAGTTACGCATCCAGTGGAGCCAGGAGGGAAAAATCAGACATCAGTAACCCACTTGATGATACTGCACATTGTATGCAATCATGAATGCTGACAAGACACAGGGGAAAGAGGAGAAAAATAAATATAACAAAGGAAACTGTCATGAAAACAGATGATACATTTCCAGGGATTCCCCTGAACCAGGAATGTGCGACTTTCAAGACCTTCTTCTGTTCCTCCCCACTAACCAAGTATTCCATTAATTAAATGGCAACCTAGCAAGAAACCAGTAGTTGGAGGTGGAGGGTTCTCTTGTCTAGGAAGTCTTAGATAATCCCAAGAGACAGACCTCCAAATCCCACTGTGATCTGCCTTAGAAGGAACTCTACAGAAGCCAGGCAATACATGGTATTTACTTCATGTAAGAATCGTCTACTTTCAAGCGCTTCCTGTGGCTGAAGTTTGTCTGCTCATTTTTGCATACTCACTTTGCATGAATATCCATGGCAACCAAAAGCATGCCTACCTTGTTAGCTTTTCCGGTGAGGTAAGAATTATTATAGTAGGCAGGGCAACATGAAAGCATCTGAAGATTTTTTCCCAAACTACCCAAATTACACAACAACCATCATGCTCATCTCTAGGGCCAGAAAGCGAGATGCAGGATAAAACTCAGTGATTATAGATGGAATCCAACACTGAGAAGGCGTGAATGTTATTCCTGTTGCACCCCTCTCCACTTCCCATTTTAAATGCTGGCCCATTTAAAATGCTGATGACCCTGAGAACGACTGTAGATTAACAAAAGCTTATTCCACCTGATGGCTGGAATTGAGAGTTCCGTTCTGTATATGCACATGGTCAGAATATAATAGAGCAGATTTACATGCTGGCTGGGGCACCTTTTTCTGTTCACGGTCATATCAGTCTACAGTAGCACAATTTCCTTCACCTGGGGTACGAACTCAGTAAAGACGTTGGCTCGCTATTTTTAAAGCAATATTTGTTGACCTAACACGGGATTCTCCAACACTAGCATTCATCAGCATTACCAGAACGGAGTGGTAAATCAGAGCTCAGGGCCCTACCGTCAGCGTTTCTGAAATATTCAGTTTAGAGTTGTGCCAGAGAATTTGGCTTTCTAACAAGCTCCCTGGGGATGCCAATGCTGCCGATTTGGGAACACTGCTTTGAAAACCATTGGTCTAAGATGACCAAAGACTGCAGATCATCTTCACATACGGTGGGAGACTCAGACATAGCAAGGACAGCGGATAAGTCCTTTGAAAATACAGGGCTTGCGATTTCAGACATGGGGCAACCTGACGACGATCACCAATGTGGCGAGAGGCACTCAGATTTTCAGCGCAGATAAAAAGATGGGAAAACCAATTAGGCAGCTACTGAGCAAGAGGTAAAGAATGCATATATGCTTGACATAAGGAAGTATCAAGAGGAGATAGGAAAAAAGGTCCATAAACGAGAGGTAGTGCATAATGAGTAATCAAAGGTGGGCATAAAGGAAAGTGAACGTTAGAAGCAATTCCAAACTTCTTTTTCTCTCCTACGGAGAAAACAGTAAGAAACCTCAGAACATATAGGATAAAAGCATCTACCCAACGTTTCCTCAAAGACCAAAGGAAAAGGTCTGGACTCAAGAACATGAAACATTCCGTTTGGGTAACACCAAATGGGGACTTGATGGAATAGTAATGCCCATCTTCAGAAGAAGATGAGGTACGCAGAAATGGAATTCAGCTAAGAAATCACCAAGAAAACTTTGGCTTTGAGATTCTTCTGAAAAAAAAAGGTCACAGGTGAAGCTTTGGGAAAGATTTAACTTGGACTATTTTACATAGACCATGTATAGGAGGAAAAGTAAGTTAGGAGCCATAATCTCAAGGAATGTCTACTTTGGAAGTGCAGGTGAAAAAATAGGTTAATGAAGGAACCTGAGAAGGAAAACGAAAGAATTGGGAGAACCAGACCACAGAAGGTCAGTGGTATGGATTCCAACTCAGAAGACGACTTCAAATAAGAGATGAGGTTGTAGCATATTCTTGAACAGGAGAGGGGAATCCAGCTGTAATATCTGTTATCATTGACAAGGTCTACTAGACAACAAATGTTAGATACATTATTGTATATATAATGCAGAAATAACACATTACATATCTTTAAAAATGATATAGCTTAGTTTTCATTAGTGTTTAATACAAACGTCCATTTTACAGTCAATTGCTCTTTAAGTATCTCTTTTACATTTTTCTCTTCCTTCTTTTCAAGAGCAATTTTAAGAGAGAATCAGAATAGGCAGAGAGTTAAAAGAAAGGTTAATGAAAATGGGGAGACTCTGCTAATGTATTTCCTTGGGCAAATTGCAGAACACTGGCACAATCAGTCGGATTGTTTGCAGCCTCCAGGTTGCTGCCTGTAGGTAACTGGGGATGAGCCATTCTCTGTGCTGAGTGCCTTTCTTGCAGTGTGATGTGTCAGGCTGTTCCAGCTCCAATGTTGGCTTTCCTGTGGGGCGCTCATCACTGTCACTCATACTACAAAGATGTTACCAAGTCAGAAAGGGGAAAAAGCCCCCAAAAACAACAACAACAAAAAACAACAAAAAGCTCCACGATGCATGTTTCTAGAATGTATTTTGTTTACACATAGGTATTAGAAGTTTAAAATGAATAACAAGAGACCTACTGTCCGAAAACATTGTTACATACATTATTTTTATTTAATCATAAAACCAAATGTAACTTTTCTTGCTAAAATGTCTCCTGTAAGTATAAAGTAAGGTACATTTTTGTTTGAAAGATGACACATTTTGTAAAACAAAAAACTTTAAAATCTTTCCTTTTGCTTCCAGGTCCCTAATTTTCCTTGCTCACCACATAATTGGCACATTTTCCACTGTGATCTAGAAGTTGAATGAAATTCTTGTTTTAACATTTACCAGTAAACTTTATTCATTTGGGAAATGATAAGAGGTACTTAGCGTCAGTTATTGGTGATCCAAGTACTAAGCTCTGCACTCCATAATTTACATGATATGTAACAGAAACTATGCAAACAAGTCACTATGTCCATTTATGAATGAAGAAATACTCAAAGATGTTAAATGCCTCATTCGAGGTCACATTATAAGACAGTAAGTAAGCTTGTATTTGACCCAAATTCTACACACCCAATTACATTGCACTCAATACAATTTTTTTTTTTTTTTTTTTTTTTGAGAGGAATTCTCTTCTTAACTGTGAATTACCACTTCCCCACGACTCAGTTAAGTCAACTGTGCGGTCTGAGACTTCTCTCTTTCTTAGTGCACATAAGCTATGGAGGCATGATTTCTTTTTATTACTTCTGGTTTCTACTTTTGAGTAGTTTTAATTTCTTAATTTATACAAATTTCGGTTGTCACACATAAGGTAACAGTTAACAGGGGACTTACAAAAATTAGAAATACTCCTCCTGCTTTTTTGGTAATAAAGCATCTCCTGTACTCTATAAATATACACACTATGTACCCACAACAATTTAAAAAAATGAAAAAAAATTAAAAATGAAGTCATTTTGTTTTGAAATATTTACCATGCTTACTTACCAAGAATAACATCACTTTTTCTCTTTGAAAGGCATGTCTACATATTCAACCTACTAGGAAGTGCTTTATTAGCTATACTATGGCTATTTCTTTACTGTTCTTGTTTTATCAAAAAAGTTACATCGTTTAAGTTAGCAATCTGACAAAGTATTCTCTTTGAAATAAACTTCCAAAAATAACACTGTGGTTTTAGAAGCTTAAGCAATTCTTGCTAGAATAATTATAACTGAAACTCATAAAATGTCCTCATAACATTCATTTGTATATATTGGTAGTGTGTTGTTTGCATTCGCTGTTTTTGCAATGCATTTGCAAGTTTAGCAGAGTATCACTCTTCTGTGATATTTATTTTTGTGTTTACTATTCCTCTTGGGCTTCCAACATCAATCTTCCTTTGTAAGTCAAGCCCTGGAGAATAATCACATAATAAATAAAAATTGCACAACAAATAAATCCAAGCCTTGTATTGCGTCTACAGACTGTATGGCTTCCAAACGTGTGTTATCTGTCTTGAATGCACGGTTCTCATCAAGCCCATAATGGAGAATAACAAGTATAGAGATGTTTCCAATACAAATTATTTGGACCTTATCAGTGTTGACATATGCACAGAATACAAACAAAGACCTATTACTAAAATGCTTGAACAAAAAAATACTCATTTATTTTTTGAGATGGAGTCTTGCTATCTCACCCAGGCTGGAGTGCAGTGATGCATTCTCAGCTCACTTTAACCTCTGTCTCCCAGGTACAAGTGATTCTCCCACCGCAGCCTCCCGGGTAGCTGGGACTACAGGCAGGCGTCAGCACACTGGCTAATTTTTGTATTTTCAGGATAGACGGCATTTCACCACGTTGGCCAGGCCAGTCTCAAACTCCTGACCTCAAGTGATTTGTCTTCCTTGGCCTCCCAAATTGCTTGGATTAAAGGTGTGAGCCACCGCACGTTGCCAAAAAATACTTATTTTTCTTTATTTACTACTTACATGTATGCCCAAACCTCAGTGATATCGTTTGGATCTGTATCCCCACCCAAATCTCATGTTGAGATGTGATACCCAGTGTTGGAGATGAGGTCCGGTGGGAGGTATCTGGACTATGGGAGCAGATTCCTCAAGAATGGCTTGGGCCATCCCCTTGGTGATGAGTGAGCTTTTGCTCCAAGTTCTCATGAGATGTGGTCAATTAAAAAAGTGTGTGGCACCACCCTGCTTACACACACACACACACACACACACAGACACACACACTCTTTCTCTCTTGTTCCTGCTCTGGCCATGTGAGGTGTCTGCTCCCCTTTTGCTTTCTGCCATGACTGGAAGCTCCCTGAGGTCTCCCCAAAAGCCAAGCAGATGCCAGCACCATGCTTCCTGTACAGCATGCAGAACTGTGAGCCAATTAAACCTCTTTTCTTCATAAATTATGCAGTCTCATATATTTCTTTAGAGCAATGCAAGAACAGTCCAATATAGTCAGCATTTGACTACATTTAAGACTTCACAATGAGTAGTATCCCAACAAATATACAACAGGAACAGAGGTTCCTGTTATGAAATCCACAATTTCTCCATAACACCCGTCAGATCCACCTGTCAGATCCACCCGTCAGATCCAGTAGGACTCTGTCTGGTTGTACTCTTCTACAAAGTAACACTATATTGTCAATTTAATATTTTGGGCTGGGCGTGCTGGCTCACACCTGTAATCCCAGTGCTTTAGGAGGACTAGTCAGGCAGATCACTTGAGGTCAGGAGTTCAGACCAGCCTGACCAACATGAAGAAATCCCACACCAAATATACAAAAATGAACCATGCATGTTGGCAGGTGCCTGTAAACCCAGCTACTTAGGAGGCTGAGACAGGAGGATCACTTGAACCGAGGAGGCAGAGGTTACAGTAAGCCAAGATCACACCACAGCACTTCAGCCTGGGCAACAGAGTGAAACCCTGTCTCAAAAAAAAAAAAAGTATTTTGTAATAGCTCATAAATCTAATCATATTTTATTTGTTTTCACAACCTCTTATGCCTTTAAGTTTTACACTCCTAGGTGTTTGCTCAATTTTCTGTAGGTTGAGGATACCCCAATCAAGTTCGTGACTTATCTGCATTCCTGTCTTTCCTGCGGCATCTCCTCCCTACTTATCATTTCTTTCCCTATCTATCTTCTGAAGCACTGTTCATTCTTGCACATGCAGCTCATATCCCACCTTCCCAGATTCTACAGCTCAGCAGGAATGTCAGTTTCTCTCAGAAAGCTTCATTATGTATGCCCAGCACCCTACATTGGATTCACTTTTCCCCATGTTCATTTTTATAACTAAATGCAAGACCCCCCGACATATACAGCCGCCTTTGTGTTACTGTGCCGTAAGTTCTTAGTGCATTATCTTACACATACTGCAGATTCAATAACTATTTCTTCATAATTTTTGTTTCTTATTCTCCAATATGCAACTACATATAATAGCAAAATGAAAATATATTTCCCGAAACTAAACTACCGAACTATCCTCCCCAAATTATTTGCCTGATAAGAATAAACCAGAAAATCTTCCTCAAATAGTTGACAAGATTACTGCCTCCCAGGTGAGTCCCTGTGGGAACCTCTTTCAGAGAGAAGCCAGGGAACTCGGTGACACAAGGTGCTGAATGGCAGAAGCATCATGCTGCACGGTGGGTGCAAACGCAGTTTTGAGACTAATTTTACCCCGCCCCTCAAAGCTTCCTGTCACGTGTGTTTGTTGCGAGGTGTCTACAGTTTTTCATGGTTAGTTGTCTTTCAGTGATTTAAAAATACATCCTGGTTTCTGGTAACGAGAGCCTTGCCAGCCTTCTTTTGGGTTTTGGGTTTTGTAATTCAAACATGTTTCAGTGTTGTTGTATCCCATTCTCATTTGTGTAAGCCTGGCAGTATGAATTAAATCCACAGCTGGGAGACTGCAGACAATGGGGCAACATTTATAGTGGCAACTGTGGCTTTCTTCTGTCATGAAAGCCTCAGTCATAATCAATAAAGCTAAAAGGTAGCCATCCCAGAGGCCCCAGTTAGGTCATTTCAATGTTCCTTGTTTTCCTAAAGGCTTCACAATGACCTTTCTAAATATTAACCAGCTTCGGTCCATGTGCCAAGTCTTCCCAGGAGAGGTTTTTGTATTTGACTCACAGTATTTTTCCTCCAAGCAAATAATTATTACTGTTTCCTCATAGCACAATCCATTTGCTTAAAAAAATACATAATACATAGCTAGAGAGTTTAACTATGGAAAAGCCCACATCGTAATGATTTTTTTACAGTCTCCATGACCATGGCATTGGAATTCATTTTCATTTTTATGCAAAGCACATCTGAAATGAAAATGCTGAGTAATTTACTCAAACCCACAAACAATGATGGATGCTTGTGGTTTTTATTTTTTATCTTATCAGTTTGGCTCCACTGAATCATCTATTTTTAATTTTGCCAAGAAACCACGCATAATTCTACCCCAAAGTTGTGATGAAAATGTCAAGTTGCTTAGGTCATGGAGCAAACACAACTGTGGACAGAAATAATGAGGTTTGTGAGCAAACAGGTGCGGATCCCTCACGAAGCTAACGCTAGCCATTGCCACCACATCTTAATGCCAAGGAGCCAAAGGGCTGTGCTCCAAGCCTCTCTTGGAGATGCTCTTTCAGTCCTTTCTCATATGAGGATCACCAAAACGCTGAAAAAGGAAGACAGCATTGCACTCAAATTAACGATTCCTACCATGCGGCAGGAGGATAGTATAAATTCTTTCTAGGCACCTGTGAGTAAGCACTGAGTAGGTAAAAACAGTGTGTACTGTCTCTCCAACTGAGCACCTCACAGATAGGAGCTCTTCTTCTGGTTTTTGCTTTTTTTCCCCAGTAATACCCTTCTGTCATGATATCACATACACACACACACACACACACACACACACACACACACACACACACACACACACACAGAGTCATATGCAGAGACATTCAGATACACAGACATGCAGCTCTCATTACTACCGTTTTGCTAGCTGGCACCCCTGGGGGAATATTAAATTACATGAAAAAGTATTAAGTACTTTTTCAGTGTGAGTTACCATTCTTAGACACATATGTAATGGCATGTGATGAATGTTCAAATTCAAAATAGTTATGTGTGGAGACAGGAGAAGTTTTCAGGGAAACTTTATTTAGCTGATGAAATGTTTTTTCCCAATCATCTACACAAAGGAATGTTTTTGAGAAAAACAACACAATGACTTGAAAAGGGTACTTTACTATCACATTTTTTTCTTATAAAAATCTAAAAAAAAAAAAACTAAGATTTCTGCCTTCAGTTTTGAGGTAAACGTCATATGAAAGAGCCTAGCAACAATGTATTTCTCATCCCACACACAGCAACCATTTTAAATGTCAAGAGCGTTTCATAGAAATACTACTTTTTTCAGGATGGAATTGTGTTTGAAAATTTGAAAATAGCAGGTGAAATCCAGCAACACCTGATTGAACATAAGAATTCCTCAAAAAATCCTTCGCAAGTTGGGATATCATGCCACTCACAGTTCTGAACAAAACAGAAGTCACACCCTGCCTAGTGACCCTGGACACAATTCTATTAAAGCCAATCCTGACGCTAAGTCCTCACCTGAAAGAAGCGTCTCAGATGCTGTTGAACATCTAGATCCGAGAGAGATGATACAGAAAGGGCGAGCGCAGGGTTACTAGCACAGGCTCCAGGGACGGCTGACAGGGGTTGAATTTCTGTCTCCTCAACTACCTGTTGCCTATGCTTGAAAAAGTTGTCTTCTCTGAGCCTCAGTTTCCTTATCTTGGAAATTATATTAGTATGATTATGTGTACAGCACTACTCTCATTTCATAAAGTGCTTAAACAGTGAAATCATCAGGATATGCACACCATGACATGCAATATGCGTTAGTTATTATTACTCTTGCTGTTGTTACTGATGCAGATATATTTAAGGAGAGTGATCTAAATCTAGACACACTGAGAACACATCATTTTATAAGTGCTTTTCTACGATACCATTTAATGAGAAAGAGTTGTAGAAAGGACTGCTTACAATGACAGATTCCAAGATCTAGTCCGCTGCCTGCCACGGGTAGGTAGCCTTGACCTGGGTCTGCCCCTGGAAACACATTGCTTGTGTGCAAATATTCTCTATGCTTCTCATTAGCTTTATGGTGTTTCATCTTTAACATGGGGATTCTAATACAATTTTTCCCCTTTATTTCTTTTTGTTTTGTTTTGAGAAAAGTTCTCACTCTGTCATCCAGACTGGAGGGCAGTGACACCATCACGGCTCACTGCAGTCTTAATGTTCTGCCTCAAGCCATCCTCCCGCCTCAGACTCCTGAGTACCTGGGACCACAGGCACCCACCACAACATCGTTTCATTAATTATGATGATGATGATGATGATGATGATTACAGACAGGGTTTTACTGTGTTAACCAAGCTGGTCTCAAACTCCCGAACTCAAGATATCCTCTGGCCTCAGCTTCCCAAAGTGCTGGGATTACAGGTGTGAGCCACCATGCCTGGCCCTTAAAATTCTGTTTGTATCATCCAATAACTTAATGTGTATGATAAGGTGCTTAAAAGTATGCCTTACACGTGTTTGGTCAAACACTATTCCAGGTATTCCTGGGAAGGTATTTGTGGATGTGAATGACATTTACACTTAATAAAGCAGGTGACCCTCCCTTAGGTGGTGGGCTTCATTCAATCTGAGGGGAACTTTAAGAGCAAATACTGAGGTTTTCCAAAGAGATTCTTTCTCAAGACTGCAACATCAAACTCCTGAGTGTTCATCCTGCCTTATCGATTTTTGACTTACCAGTCCCTATAAATGCATGAGCTAATTCCTTAAAATAAAACTCTCCAGATAGTATGAAAGATTGATGGATGACAGAGAGACATCTCTATTTTTATTTCTCTATCTGTATTTCCTCTGGAGAATGCTGACTAATACATAGCTTTATACCTTCTATGGTTAGAGAAGCTGTAAATCCTCAAAGCCTATACTGCCCAATTCTTACCATGAAAAATAATTTTTATTTGCATAGATACTTGAACGATACGCTCGACTCTACTGTGTAGTTGAATGTAGGCATTTTAGTCTGTTTGGGCTGCTATGACAAAATGCCATATATTCGGAGGTTTTTAAAGAAAAGACATTTATTTCTCATTGATCTGGAGGCTGGGAAGTCCAAGATCAAGGTGATAGATCAGGTGTCAGTGAGGACCCACTTTCTACCCCCACAGATGCTGTATTTTTGCTACATCCTCACATGACAGTAAAACCAGTGTCCTCCAGGCTTGTCTTTAAGCTCCGTTGCCTAAGTGATCTTGTTTTAGCCTCCTTAGTAGCTGGGACCACAGATGCACACCACCATATCTGACTAATTTTTGTACTTTGTGTAGAGACAGAGCCACACAATGTTGCCCAGATTGATCTTCAACTTCTGGACTCAAGTGATTCACCCTCCTCACAGCCTCCCAAGGTGCTGGGATTACAGGTGTGAGCCACCATGGCTGGCCTGGGCTCTCTTTTCTATGGATACTGATCCCATTTGTGAACACTTCACCCTTATGACCTAACCACCTCCCAAATGCCCTATGTCCTACTACCATAACCGGGAGGGTGAGGATTTCAACCTCGGACTTTTGTGGGGAAAGGCACAAACATTCAATCTATAGGAATCTGGATATACACATCTTCTGAATACATTAACATTGCACCATCTCTTTCTGAAACACACCAGAAACTCGTTACTAGAATCATTTATTTAAATCAGGGAATTTATATGGACTCCAGAATACAAATGTCCTGAACAAACGAAGTCATCACCTGCCATGTAAGAACATCAGCACCAACATCTAAATTAGCTTAAAACCTGTCACTATCAGTCTTAGCTAACTTTTCCTTAAAACTACTCTATGATTATCATTGATTCATGTATTTATTCAAATATTTAATAAAATGAAAAGTTGCTGGGAGCATGAAGTATATTGTGCAAAATTGTTACAGAATATAGTGTTTCTCAAAAATAACAAATAGTGTACCTTAATAGGGCTCACGGCAACAAGATAGAGTCATCAATACCTGAAGAGGAACATACCACGTTACCTGTGATCCCATGGAAGATACAACATTACTCAGCCCAGGGGTTGATTGGGGTATCTAAGCTGGGGAGAACAGGGGGACGAGAAAGTGGAGAACCTCCAGGGCTTCCTGCAATATGATCAAAAATAGTGAGGGAGCCCCATATTGGAGGATAAGCACAGGGAGGCTCTCACAGATACATGAGACTATAGGGTCAGCCCCGCTCACTGTCAAGTTAAGATTTGGTACACTTACTTCTAGATTTCCAAACTTCCTCCCTGTCTTCAATAATGATTAAGTTCCACAAGACAATCCACTAATTGATGAGAAATAGTGTAAGTATTTTTCCTGTTCTGTATAAACTTCTCACTTTAAGCTCTACCCTGAATAATCATACTCCTGGTTTGCGGTCAGCGCTGGTTGACTCAGGGAATGCAGGTAGTATGAATGCACCTGTAGGTTCAAGACCCTTTAAAGGTCTTGCTCGTCCAAAAATAGACAGTATTTTATGTCAGAAGCTTTACTTTTAATGCCACGTAGCCTCTGTAGAAAGGCACATTTTTAGTTAGGAAGCAGGGAGCAACTGGGTCATTAACAGGCAACTGTGCCTGACTAGGCGTGACCCATGGCCACTCCTGATGGAATGACCCTAAGGCCCCCGGTCAGTTAATGTCAGCATCTGTGCTATGTGTAGATGTTTGAGCCTTCAGACACGGAAACACAGATACAACTACATGGTGCCTGGCCAATAACGTGTTCGATGAATGTCATGCTGCTTGTTTTCTAGATGGTTTCCAGTGGCCTGGTGAAGCATGAATTTATTTTACACACACAAAGTGCATTTGTTGTGTTGCACAAATGAGCACATGAGCATGCTTCACTTCACAGCTTTCACATCTGTGACATAGTCCTTCGAAGACAAAGTAGAGATGAGGCTGTGTATTCTTTCTAGGATCCAATTACTCTGAGTTACTTGGTGACTGGATCCACAATGGGCAAAGCTGGGCCCAGAGGGAGATGCCGCCTGGATGAAAGGCAGGCTCTCAGTAACTAGAGATGGAATGAAGATGGGGTTGAGATTTATTTCCAATAATCAATTCTGTTAAAAACATACGGGAATGGGATTGCCTAATTTCCATAATAAATAATAACAATACAGAAATTCTGTAGGCTACAATGTTGAAATGGAGCAAACCCTCAGGATTTGCCGTGTTTTCTTCCCAGAATGGCTGACTGGCCTGCTTACTAAATCTGCAATTATAAACTGAATTTTGCCCACACATTGCATTCTGCATCTGTTTCACTGTCCCAGAGGGTTGCCAACGTTGCGGCCACGTACAGGAGACCGAAGCATTTAAGTGGGATCTTCTGCCCCCACCTTCATTACTACTCTATCTATACCTCTGTTTGCAACAGTGTTATCTCAAAAGGGGAGACTTTCAATCTTTACCCAGGAGGCAAAAACTCCACTGCCTGATAAAACATAGCATCATGGCAACTAAATGCTTAATTTCTGCTTGACATTTTTCTCTGCCATGAAGATCAAAATTTCTCCCAGTTACCCCAGCAACCGACATTGTTGCAAACTTCCACCTAAGTCATTTCTGCCCTTCTTCAGTAAACAGGTATTTTGTTTCAGACTGCTTTTCTATCTTAGCCTTCTCTGTTAAATCTAAATGTCTTTGCAAACCACACTGTGATGGGATCTCTGCTTTGCTTTTTCTTATATTCTAAGGATAATTAATACTCAGATCGTAACATTATTTTTAAAAATAAACTCAGCGATGAAGTACATGTGAGGCATATCAATTCTTCAAACTCAAAATTCTGTGGACAGTAAATATTTTAGACAAGTGTCATGCTGAACTATTCCGTTGACTTACAGCAGATTATTCTCACAGACAATTTTTTCTTTAAGCATGCCAACTTTTAAAAGAGTACACTCAAGTATTTGCCATTGACATAGAATGGATTAGTAGTACAGCCTTTACATTGGGCTGGAGTTATTTTAATCACACAGCTCTGATAAATTTTTAATCAGTAGAATAAATCAGGTAATTATAAAACTTCTTGTTCCTTCGTAAAGACTTTAAGAGTAAAAATAGGCATTTTCTTCAGCTTAAGACAAAATGACCCCATCACTGAACAAATCGTTTATCATTTAATGATATCGCATTTCTCAACCTTTTTAAATATCAGTTTTGTCAACTGTAAAATGTCTGTATTCCCAAATAGAGGTGTTCTGAGTGGAAATGCAAAGATTTATTCCAAGAATCTGCTTCAATAAAGCCCCATCATACTCTTTTTAATACATGCACTTTTATGTGTAACTTTGGTGTACAATTAATTTGAGAATTACTATGATTTTTATTCCAAAGCATGGTAGTAGAGAATTACAAAAATATTGGTACTAATGCAAGAGTTAGATTAGAGATGCATGTCATAGTTCTTGCATATTTCTAATATTAAGTTAGAATAGTTGCAATATTCCATAGTTGAGTAAGTGCAAGAGTTCAATGCAGTAGTTGAATATAGTTAGTTACACATTTACCTCGTATGTGATCTGTTCCAGGGCTCTCTTAAGGAAACATACAAAAATATCTTATGTTTGCAAATTACGTAAAAGTACATACTAGTGTGGATGAATCAAGACCTCATCAGAGCCATGCAAACAAGAAACCTGGACGTTTACACCTGGTTAGGTTCATGGCAAATCTACCTCGGGATATTGTACTTTGTACCTTCAAAGTTCTTCGGCTTTTTCTAGTTTACTCTATTTTCAAAACTAATTTCTGGGTTTGATAACACCTCTGACATACTCATAATAGAAACACAGCAATTAAATCTTTAAATTAGGTCCATAAATTTAGCTGTCATAAAATGTGCTCACGGGTGAGTCAGAAATAGAAGCCACAATTCCATAGTTCCGGTTCTACAAGTATTTTTTTAACTCAGATTTTTTTCGCCTAATTCATAAGCGAATATTAAATTCTCCTTGAACCCAAATGAATCATATTGATATTAGTTTAATGTTGCAATTACTCTTGTGTTGCCTTAATATTCAGCTTTATATTACTTTTTGAAAGAAGAAATTATGGAAGGTTTAGAAGAGAACCTTTTACTAGAACTGACAACAGAGGCATGATAAATAAAGTTAAAGTAAGGGTAAGCGTATCTGAACATAGGTCTGGGCATACAGTCAATGATCAGAAAATGCTTTGAGATTCTGTGAAAAGCAAGGCTTTTCTGTGAGGCTCAATTGCTGTAGAGCCTCAAATCTACCGGGAACTATTGCTTGGGTAGTAGAGGCATGGATTCTGAGTCTAGACAAAAGAGCTCATCTCTGAGGCAGAAATATATTCCAACTACAAATGCTATCAGCTATGAAAATAAATTCTTGAGCCAGGCTTTATCTCCTTCAAAGGAGATCTGCAAGTATACCCCAGGCAATAAGCCATAGGAAATAATCTAGTTATGGTCTTGGCCAGAGACAAAAGTAGGAAGTTGATAACTACTTCAAACCCTTTCAGTTCTTACCATTTTGTGATTTAAATTCACAAGCTATGCTGGCAGATTCATCAGCTGGTCAAATAATGAATCTATTTTTTATCTTGTCATGCCCTGTGCTAATCTCAGTCCAGGCTCTCTTTCATGTAAATGAGAGGCTGGTGTTTGAATCAGCTGTACAAAGCTACCGCGAAATGAGATACTGGAGCTGAGTGACAAAGAGTTTAAATTTATAAGACTTCAATTTCAGTCCTACATTTCTAAAGACTACTGAATCTTTCATAAATAACTTTCGGTTGTTTATTTCATCGTGCAAAGAACAGGTGGGAAATCGCTCAATGATTACCTGCCCACATAGGAAAACATTCATCAGATGATTCAATATGTTATGTTTGGATGGCCAAACAGTTTCCAGGTTTGAGTGAGTGAGAAGAAAATGAAAGAGGACGGTATACGAAGTAGAAAAAGCTGAGTGCAGGGGCTTACACCAAAAATCCTAATGCTTTGGGAGAATGAGGTGGGAGAACCACTTGAGGCCAGGAGTTTAAGATCAGCCTGGGCAACAAAGTAAGACCTCATCTCTACAAAAACTTAAAAAAATTATTCTGGCATGGTGGCACGCACCAGTAGTCCTGGCTCCTAAGGGGCCTGAGGCAAGAGGATCACTTGAGTTCATAAGTTGGAGGTTCAGTGAGCGGTGATAGCAACACTGCAGTCCAGCCTGGACAACAGAACCAGGCACTTCTAGCGAAAATTATGTTGAGCAGCATACCGTATGTTTTAGGACTGACTCTGGTAACGTAAGTATTAGAGAAATTAGAGTTAACCTTAGAAGTTTTGTTAATCTCTCCTCTTTCAGGGCTCTCATTTAACATGTTCTATTTTCTTGATACCTTTTTTTTCTGATCCAAAAAACTAATGACACCTTCGCCAAGAAGAGCTTGCTATGCCTTCTCCCCTTTTCCTCTCACTGAAGCCTGGAAGATTTGTCCTTTTTCCTTGAGACTAGTCATCTGTGTTTGCAAGGCATCTCCATCCAAACCCTTACATTGGCTGGGATGAGGTTTGAGGGGCTGCTACACCCTAGTTAAAAATGTAGAAAATAACACTCTTGACATGAGTTTGCTTTACCATTGGCCAAATAAACTCCTCAATTAAGCTGCGCATTCCTTGAAGGAATTATGGGTCTGTCTAGGGGTGATGAACTCCTCATGGTCGAGTCCCCAATGTCATGGTTAGACTTTATTATATGTCAGATGAATCAAAGCAGGATTGTCCAAGGGCAATTCAGGGACAAAACCCACCCTGCTGATTTCTTCACAGTACTCTTGCTTGGCTGCGCCTCCTCTGCCAATGAGCCAAGTGGAGCTTGGTCGTGAATTATATTAACCTAGAGAGTAGGCTGGAGTTTATTAGAAGTACATTTTAAACAAAATATCAGCACGTGGAACAAACTGAAAATTTATTTTCAGCAAACTCTGCAAAACTGTCAAGCAAACTCATAATGGTTGCTTCTAGAGAGTTAACTATGCTGCTTACCCACTTCTAGAATCTCAATTATTTGGTTGCTAATTACACTGTACTATTTTTGATATTAACTATTAATGAATATTACCTACAATTTAAAGTGGGAACTCAAGCGGAGAGATTTCTAGGCCTGAGAGAATGTAGTCTGTACTCTGCGGGTTTATTTCAAGCTGATGGATTTAAAAATTATCACAGTCATCCTATTTTTTCAGAAAATTACATATTCAACTTTAGAATCTATACTCTAAATCAACGTAAAAGGTAAAACTTGGGAAAGAATAGTGAGAGAATAGAGATATCTCATTTCCAATACATCGTTGCCTAGGTAACAAGGCCTATCCAAGCATTTTGAATTAGTAGGCGTTGATCATCTATATTTGGGGATTCAAATCTGCAATGAAGGCAAGTTTCCATGGTACTAGCAATTACATAACTGTTTTCCAGTATTTTTCAGAAGGCAGTTGTATGTCATATGGGCATATTTCAGGCTCAAATATATTAAGCAATCAATCATATCACTAGGTAAAAGTTTTTCACATTGAATTCTGAGATTCATATTCACTATCGCAGGAAATAATTTAGTACTGAAGAAAGCCTTGAACTCAAAATGTAGAGGAAAATGTTTGAAGATAAGTTTACCTCATTGTGGTTAAGAAGCAGTATTCTCTGTGATCAAAGGACAGACTACTCTGCATATCATGAATGTGGCCCTTTCTAGGAAGCAAACCCATGGAAACATTATTTTTCCTACAGTGTGATTTTGAGAAGAAATACTAACGTTCTGTGGTTCCCTGTTTGTCCAGTGAAACTGTAACTTACGGAAAAATGTTTAGGATATGCTCTTGTGTTCTAAAAGCATCTTTCAGCAAAGCGACGCAGTCAAGATAAATGGAAACCTAAGATTAGTCAATATGTTTTTTCAACAAATTAGAATTAGGCAGTTAGGGTGCATTAATAATGGTCAATAATATTGTGCAGATTTCAGTGCCCATTAATTTGTTCACATGACTTAACGAGCACATCTGCATAATAACAGAAGGATGCTTCACCCAGCAGCCACAGCTGATGTTAACCTTCCACACCACTAACTTTCTGATTACTCATTATCTGTACTTAGAATTAGTACTATGCTTTGTCCAATGGACTGACACATATTACCCTGGTTCAAGAGACGAAAGTGGCCTTATTTCCACCATGCAGTCATTTTAAGACTTGGTCTCAAGATACAAATTCTTGATATGAATTTGGAGCATCCTGAAGATCCTGCAGTTCAAGTAGCGCAAGCCATCTCTATGTTTCCATGGTAACTCCACAATCTCTAACAAGACAAGAAGCCAATCTAAGACTGTCTACCAAGCCACATTCTTACTTCCCTTATGCAAACTTGGCAGCAGTGCTGTGTCTGTGTGTGTGTGTGTGTGTGTGTGTGTCTGTGTGTGTGTGTGTGTCTCTGTATGTGTGTGTGTAGAGGGATATTTAAACCACAAGCCAAGATTCAAAGGTGTGCAATGTATGTAAAACATAGGTATTACACACACAGAAAAATATGTGTATACATTCTACAGCTATCACATATGTTTATTATAGTATAAATGTGTGAATAGGTTAATCACTTTCTGAACTGTTGAAAACTATTCTGGCTATCCCAACAGCAGACAATAAACTGGCAGAAAAAGCACAGGACTAAATCAGCCAGGGTAGGTTTCATTCCGAACTCTGACATTTTCCTGATGTATGACATTTGCCCAGTAAGTGATCCTCTCAGATGGACACTTCCCCATAAGGTTACTGGGAAAAAAAAGATGGTAATATGATTCACATGCAGACATTCTTTATTTATTTTCATCACATGTGATGCTAAACATGAACTGGCTGCCCAGCGATAGAGCCAATGATTCCCAGGAGGTTAGCAAAGGGAGAACATTCCGCAGTAGACAGGCTTGCAGAAGACGTGTTAAAAAGAAAAATAATACAAGCTCAAGGGACTTGGAAAGGTGGTTCGTTCCTGCCACAACATCGCAAAGAAAAAGCAGGAAGTGAGTCACCCTAGATACACCAAAGGCCACCCATGTGACATATCAGGAGAAGCAAAGGACTTATGTTTTAGAGAATTCCAAGATATGCTGCACACTGATCTGTAAGTTTCAGACTCTGACAGGTAGATGTCAGGTAGAGAATTCCAAGCTGTAGCGTAGATTGCAGTGCACCTGACTTGTGCCTCCTCCAACCCTCATATTCAACATTTCAACATTTTAAGTTGCCTTCAACATCACATGGTATCTCAGTGACCAAGGGATATGGGGTATTTTATAACTCTCCAAAACATAAAAACAGATGCCACATGAAATGGGCAATGTATTTGGTAAAATACAAGGAGTGCTTCAGCTTGCTTTGTTAGAGCATAAAAAGCACATATGATAATCAAATACAAAGACACAGACAGGAGGATGGAGGTTGCCAGTGGTTGTGGGGAAGTGAATATAGAGAGATATTGGCCAAAGGGTACAAAATTTTAGTAAGAGAATGAATACATTCCGGAGATCTAATATAGAACAGTGTGACTGAATTTAATATTCTCTTGCTAAGAGAGCTGACCTTAAGTGTTGTAACCATAAAAAAATTATTAAAAATGGTCACTATGTGTGGTGATGAATATGTTACTTAGCTTGATCATGGTGATGTACATGCGTACATGATTCACAATGCATATCAAATATCAAATTGTACAAGTTATATACAATGTTACTTGTCAATTATATATCAATAGAGCTGGAATAAAGTATATTTTTATCTAATAGAAACTAACCCAAAAAGCAGACTATGTGCACTAGAGCATGTGGTCATCTCCTAGGAGACAAAGTCTGTGTCTGGTGATCTGACCTTTGCAGCTTTTTCTTTTCACCAGGGGAGCTTCGACTAGGTCCATAAGGAAATATCATCTTGATGTGTGCACTGGGGCTCATCTTTCTCATCCTACACGTTCCGTATTAGAAATATGTGGAACAGTTCTGATGAGACACTACCACTTCAATTTGTTTTTCTCGTACATCTCCTGTAGCATATGGCCCTGGTCAACTCAATAACTAATTTTTAAGGCTTATTTACTTTTAAATACTGCCAAGAGAAGTGTTTTAAAAATTATAATAAGTATTTTCATATATACAATAAATTCTAGTAAAGCCATTGCCAATAATACCACAAGCACTGTGGTTGTGAAATTGTGAATGTATACAAATAGGTGTGTGTATGTGCGTGTGCGCACACACATACTCTGGCTTAACACGGTATACCAGCACCTCGAGTAAAAGGCCTATTCAAAAACACACTGATCATTAGCAACTGAGAAATGCCTTGTTAATCTGCTTTTTCATATATTTTCAGATTTCTCTGTAACCGTCTCCATGGAGACTTTCCTCTGTTTTCCCAAAGGTGCCTCTGACACAATCATCTTTACACGTGTTCATTCAATTGTTCATTCTGTCATGTGTCTAGTTTAACAAAACATTTCAGACGTGGCCTTCAAATCAGCTTTACATCTTTCAGGTTTGGTACATTATTTTTCATACTCCCATACGCTCAAGCTCAGAGAGTACCTACTATCTTCTGTTGAGCAAAGGCAGGAATATTTTAAAACTGAACTGCTCAAAGATGCATTCTTTTACAAATGTCTACCTCTATCTCTCAATCTATTTTTTCATTTTCATAAAAATGATTGTCAGAAATATATATAAATAAATAGGTATATAAGAATATAAATATATACATATATAAGTATATATATGACAATGACTCGCTGGGTTATGAGTTACACTACCGCTATGCTCAAAGGAAGGTTTGTTTAAAAGCACTCAAGAATTGAATCAATAAACACAAAGATATTAAAAATGTTTCCTAAAAATAAAAAGGCATATCCATCATTGAGCAAAAGAATATAAAAGTTGCCATTCACATTTCACCGTTGTAGATAAAAACATGTTTACCAGCAAGAAATATACATTAGCATATGATATATAGCAGCTGATCTTTAAAAAGGATCTTTGAGAACCTTTAAAAATATTTACCTAGCGATAAGGACAACTCAAATACGTCATGGACAAGAACAGGCACTATGCAACAGGTTGTGGTCAGCTGGTCTCTGTTCCAATGTGCAAAGATTAAGGAATTTTCGGACTGAAGAAAACAAATGGCTAGCCAATGTTTCATTCTTTCTAAGGCAGCATCACACCATAACATCAAGCTCAGAATTCTGTGATTAAGTCAGTCTGTGGTTGGGGCTTAGAAAGAGGAGAAATGATGGGGCAGCCAAGGGGAGCTAAACCTGTCAGTAATTTCGGATTCAAGAAGCAGAAAACAGTGGAAACAGATTTCCACTTACATGCAAGACATCGCATTGATGACCAACGCTAACATATATTAGCAGCTATTGCGGTTTGGAGGTGAAATGGACATGAAAATTAGATAGGAACTTATGCTTTCTATGAGGATTAACGATGTTTGAACACCCTAGAAGGTAACATATAAATCTTTTCCTTGCTTGGTTTCCAATTTTGTTATTTTTGACATGTAATTATACACACTTATGCAATAGAGTATTTTCATACATGGATACAATGTATAGTGATCAAATCAGGATAAAGAAGAGAAAAAATAGATAACTGGAATTACATCAAACTACAAAGCTTTTATATAGCAAAGGAAACAGTGACAAAGTGAAGAGACAACATGCAGAATGGGGGAAATATATGCAAATCACTCATCGGACAAAGCACTAATATCTAAAATATATGAGGAAATCACAGAAAACAAAAACAAAAAGTACCAAAATAATTACTGAAACACGGTTCAAATGACTGGAAGAGACCTTTCTCAAGATATGAAATGGCCATGTAATTTTTTTAAAAAGGCTCAACGTCATGAATTATCAAGAAAATGCAAATCAGAACTATAATGTGCTATCATCTCAACCCCGTTAAAATGCTAATTCTTCCACAAAACCAGTCTGTGCCTTCACAGGGAGGTCATCCCGAGCAGCGACCTACATTGGAGTGTTCTGAGGTTACATGCACTGACAGGCAGACAGGTGATGAGTCTGTGTATTCAGTCAAGACGTAACAAGGGAGGGGCTTTTCTTCCTCAGTGTTTTCAAACTACGCTCTTCATACTGACTAGATATCATTTGGAATTTCAGTAGTTCACATTAGTATAAAATAACGGAATATTACATTCTTATTATCATATCCAGATTGTTCATGGTCCATGTGCTGGCATGTGTGAATACGAAAGTACTACAACTAGAAATCTTCAGCATTAGAAAGGACCTGGAGGTTTTTCTACTCCAAACTCTCCATGCTGGTCAACTATGGTTAACAATCAAATATGGCCTGCTAATTTATCTGGACAGCTCATTTGCTAAGAATGATTTTTATATTTTGAAATGACTAAATATACATCCAAAGAATAATAATATTTCATAGCACATGAAAGATACACATAATTTAAATTTCAGTGACCATAAATCCAGTTTTACTGGAAAGCAGCCATGCCCATCTATTTCCATACGATCTGCGGCTGCTTACCTGACCCCACAGCCGAGTTGAACAGTTACATCAGGGAGTATGACCCACACAGTATCTGGCCCTTTAAAGCAAGGCTTGCCGATCCTTGATATAATCCATCCCTGCTCTGATAGCCTCATGACATTATTGTCTAAACTGAATTAAAATCCAGTTACAGAAAACTTTCAGTCTTTGGGCTTGAGCGTGCTTTTCGTTATTGTTCTTGACTGATTTCATTTCAATCTTCAGCAGGAATCAAATTTAAAAGAAAAAAATGGTAAGTGAAATCTTCATTGCAATTTTGAATTTTTTTTCTAATTTGCCTCGTATGAGTGCTAGTCAGAAATGTCGTATTATTTATAATTATATTTTAGATATAAAAATAAATTAACAGAATTCTTATCAAAATTCAAAGGAGACAAGTCAGTGGTAAGCTCTGGATACAATGTCCCGCTGTAGAAATCCAAGGGGATTGAGACTGAGGGCCTGAGGCCATCTCCACCTCTCTCAACATGTCATTCTGGCTGGATTGTAAAACCTGGCTGGACCTCAATCTTTTCCTCAAATACTAATTTGAAAGTGAGTTTAGTTAGGTAACATTCAACTCTCTTGTAATGGAGGGTGCTTGTGGCTGAGGACAAGGGCTCCAGGATACTTAAAGTTTTCATTTTATTATTTCCTCTAATTATCTAGACCAGAGACACCTTTGACCATTTTTCTCCTATTCTTTGACCCCTCAGAAGTTACTTTTTCTCCAAGGCAGGAAAGATGAATGATTTTAGCACTTGGTGTGACAACTGGGATCGGTGTTCAAGTTTTAGCTTTACTCCTAACTTATTAATCTTGAGTTAGAAATACTTGGAAATTACATCATGCTTAAAATGAAACAGACATCCACGATTTGGGGTAATCTCACCTTGGCCCTCTCTAAACAGCAGCAGCAGCAACTATAAAATTATTCAGTCTATAGCATAGGACAAAACTACATAATATAATCGATACTCTCTGCTCTTTGATTTCTTGGGACATCTAAGACATTATCATTTAAAATAGGTAACATTACTTAAATATTTTAGCCAAACACACACAAGAGCTTATACCACATCTATGAAGAAGAAGGAAATTGCAAGACTAAAGGAGACTAAATTATAATTTACCAATGACATTACAGGATAAGGCTGTCTCAACAGAAATACTTCCCTGTTGCCTATTATTAAAGTTCGCCAAAGAGAATGTAGATATTGGCCATCTGCTCTGAGTCTTCTAGTGCAAAAGCAATGAAAGGAGGAGTGTAATTTCACATCAGTATGCAATTGCAATGACTCCTATTACTACAAACATCCCTTCTATCTCCTGTAGCACGTAACTCAATTCTGAGTGCCTAGCAAGCATGTATTGCCAAGTTGTATTGGATAAAGTTTTAGTAACTCTAAATAAAATCTATAATCACTTAAACAGATATTATATCTTCTCTCGTTCAAAGAAACAAAAAAAAACAGATCAGAGGTAATTTCCAAAGTTAATCCATGATAAGAAAAAAATAAAAAGTTAAATAAACAAGGATAAAATAGGAGCACAAAAATAAAATGGAGGCACAGAAGAATTTATACACGGGAAGCACTACACTGGCAAACATGCGTCACTTATTTTACTATATGCATAAAGAGGAAAAAAACAGATTAGTTACAACATACTCCAAAATACACCAGGCAAAAACAAACCAGTGGCCCAGGAAAAGTGAATGCTTGGCTAACTACCAGTTAGAAGTATTAAAGAGAGAAGACCTTTTCGGTTTTTAAAACATATTTACTGCATATGATCTCTGGATATGGCATTGTGCTGGGAAAATGTATATAAGAAATTCACAATGCATACTAAGTGCTCTTGACTATCTCTTCATGTCTAAGGGGAAGGTAGATATAACCAGGAGCAAAGGCATGTTCTGTGGATGCCTTTGTAAGAGTGTGAGGCCACAGCAGCGAAGTCATGGAATCCACCCAAGTGTACTACGCTACAAGTGTTTAAAGAACGTTGCAGGTCACAGAACTGTAAGTGATTCTGTATTTTTAAAAATCAGAATATTAGGCCTTTCTGATCATTTGCTGAAGTATCTTCATATTTCTTTCCACAAAAAGGTAGCTTAATAAGTTGTATCTGCAAAGATTTTGAGAGTTGTATCACAAATAAAAGTGTGTGTGTGCACATGTGTGCATCTGTGTGTGTGTATGCATGTGTGTGTGCGTGGGTGTGTTGGGGGTGGGGGAGGGAGGGGAGAGGGGGAGAGGGAGGGGGAGAGAGAGAGAGAGAGAGAGACTCTTTTGCGTACATATCCGCTTAAGTGAATTTTATACCAGGAGAATTTGATCTTCGTCTTTAGGAAGACCGTGAGTTAAAATTGTAGAAAATAAACTACGAATGTGACTTTCTTTCAATCCCTTAACCCATTTATTCTTCCAAGACCCAGTTAAATCAATAAGCTTTTAAGGTACGAACATGCTCTTAGTTCATCTACATGTCTGTTGCTCTGATTGAGTCATAAGCCTTTCTCCCTGTGATATCACAGCTATTGTTCCTTAACCAGACAGTGCCCTCAGAATACTCTTGAATTGCACCATATGCAAAAACAGGACAAACTGAAAAATTGAAAATCCAACTGTCCACACAAGCCGAAATCTTACATTCTTGCTAATTTAGTTAGAAATTATTAACATGACTCATGAAATGCTCAAATTACAAAATGAGCTGAAGTTTGAAGATAAGTAAAATTCAGTCTGAATCCGAATACAGAGCTTGCATATGTGCTTTTGGTGTAATTTCATCAGAGAACTAAGTGAAGATTTTAATCAGAATGACTATAAGAAGGGCTTGTTTGCTAATTGTCTTGTGGTATTTGGTACAGACCAGTGGTTTTCAAAAACAATTTTTGCAGCAGTGGAAAGCTATTTTTCTACACTCTAAGACCTCCACAGAATTGAGTATAAGATGTAGGTGTTATCGTATTTTACATTTTTCTTAAAGCATCCTTTTGTGGTAGGCAGAGGAAATATTATCACCTCTACTTTAATGATAGAGAAAAGTCAGATTTACAACTAGTGATATGTCTCAGGTTATATAGGTAGAAAATGGAGAGCTCTATCTAGAATCTACCTTCTTTTTCCCTTTCAACAGCCTTTCTACTCTATACCATGCTTTTTTATATTAGGTGACATAGAAGGCTTCAACATTTAGCAACCAAATTGTCTTAGAAAGCTGTTACGTCTCCCTGAAATTTCACAATTGCATACCTTCATAATATTTGGCTAAATGGTAAATTTTGAAATGTGGCCAATTTCTATCATACCTATAAATACAATCATCAGTTACAAGATCATTTATTTGACATTTTTCAAATGCCCAAATGAATCTTTCCTCCATTAAGATATTTATTTGTCTCAATTGCTTAAAATTAAAATATGATATGACCTTTTTTTTTTTTTTTTAAGTTTAGGTTACTTTTTAACTATGTAATGTTACCTTTAAGAAAAGACAGGGAGCCAAAATATATTAGCAAAAAGGTTGTGCTATGACCTTTATACTGCCAAACTTTAACAAAACAAATGTATGCTGTAGACTTAAGGGATCCAAAGTAATAGCTTTGGTCCCTGAGCCCTGGAATCTTGTCTTTTCCTTGACTAAAGAGGCTTAGTTTTAGCTTATTTCAAATAAGAATCTCTCAGCCCTGAAACATGACTTATGAGCCACCACTGGCTGCTACGTCAGATTCATCCCAAACTTCAGTCCAAATCATCAAATCTTGATGGTCCTTATTGTTACAAGCCTTCTCTTCTTTTTGCTGTACAATTGCAAGGCTCTGTCAAGCGTCCAGGCACCTGCCTGAAGCCTAAGTCTCAACAACTGGAAGCCTCACTCTAGGGGACGCCAACTGCAGGTGACTGTGCTGTCTACTTGAGGTCTAACAGGCTGACACACCTGAGGGGCACACAAACTGTGAACCAAGAAATGGAGAAAAATCAAAATAGTGTTATAAATGAAATGCACAGCTATGATATGCTCTGATTTACTATATCTCATCAACCAACCTTGATTCACCAAACCACATGATACTCTTTGCCTGCTACAAACCACACATAAAGGTAAGATCACCGCAGCAGTGAGCTCTCAGCCTGAAGGAGGTAGGAATGGAGGCTAATGTCCTGATTCCACATTTATTCAATTAACACTTCCACGCTTACAATGAGAAAAAGCAGAACAAAACTGACCTGGGCAATGGGCTAGAGAATTGCGAGTTGACTCATGAAATTTACTAGAACAAAGGTGTATTTTTCATCACTGATGTCAAGGTTGTCCACTTCTCCTGCTGACCAAAAGTCACATTTGCTCTTCTCTAAATCCAGTGGCAGCTGATTGAATTTAAGTAGGTTATTTTTAAATTCCCAGCATCTAGTTACTTTAGCAAGATGACTTTGCTTTCCTTAGCTGTGGAGACACTATCTGCCAGTGGCTCTAGTTCCGGTGGATGGAGGGGAAAGGATGTGCATTCTAAGGTGGGCCGTGCTTACAGGACCGCCTTCCTTGACACATACTTGCTTTCTGCAAGTCATCGTTTAAAGCTTCTTTTAATAATTTTGCCTCTCTGCTTAATCGAAATTAAAGTTCTGTCTTGGCTACCTCTATCAAAGAACAAATCTGCCTGGCTCAGACCAGTAATTCCAGAACTTCAGGAGTCTGAAGCCAGAGGATCGCCTGAGCCCAGGGGTTCGAGACCAGTCCGGGCAACATAGCAAGGTCCCATCTCTAAAAAAAAAAAAAATTAGGGAAAGAACAAATGACTTCTAGGAGTTAATAAAATGTACCAAGTTTCACCTGATACCTAAAGCTCCATCTACATCCTGTCTTTCTAAGAAGTAAACATTAGAACGTATCTTTCCTAACAAGAGATTTTTCAATGCTAAATGTTTCTCCAGCTATATAAAAACATTCAATGAAAATTTGAGGCATCTCCTTATTCGTCTTGTTCTCCTCTCTTCTCGTCTCATAGCCCATGCTGGCTGTTATACCAAGTAAGGTAAGAAGAGTTACTTAAAATAATGTCTAAAAAGCAGAGTTCCATAGCTATTACTGTGCCAAATTTATAGATTAGGAAGAAAATTGACAGAACTTAAATTGTGAGATTCATGGAGGTAGAAAGTGGCCGGTCAGTTTGGCTTTAAAATGCATGTTTTATGCAAAAATCCTGAAAGAGACTTCAACTTGTTGTGGGAGTGAGAAAGGAGATGAGGGAGGTTTATAGGAAAGGCTTCCCAGGCAAGATGTCTTCCAAGAGGAGACTTGAATCCTTAGGAGGAATTAGCCAGACATGGAAAAGAAAAAGGCCTTCTAGGTTGAGCAAGACCCACTTGAGAAGATGTGAAATTGCCACTTATTTTGTGCACTTGGAATCCAGCATCTCAAAAGGAGCAGAGCAACACACCAGGCCAAGGAGATGTCCAGGACCCTGGTCATTATATACGACAGGACTTGTATGTGGATTACGCACTACAGAAACCAAACTGTAGAAACACTGACATTCAAGGTAACATTGCCTTTATGCTATTTTTTTTTTTTTTTCAGAAAAAAAAATGAGTGGCTTGAAACACGGGTATGGAATTGACTAATGCAATGCTGATCGTTTAAGTTCATTGTGTCCCAGTGTGGTCTACAATTATTCAGTGTTAGCCACTCTCCTTCTACTGCTGGAATACTTTGTAAATTAGAGAATGAGGTGGACTGGCCTGTGGCCCCAACTCAGAATATCATTTTTATATTAAGTCCACTTAGGTTCTCATTGCCTGGGATGAATAAGCAAGCCCCACTTAGAGCTAATGCAATTGTAAGCACCAACATAAGGTTCTAAATGGAAATGAACTCACCTGCTCATGAGGGTTCTTCCAGGTGATTTAGAAAATAGAACTATCTATGCCATCATAAAAATTAAAATTCAACATTTAGAATGTTCTCAGATAATTCACAAACAGCAATAAATATGTCTGTAGATCCACAGAAAATGAGAACACCAGTATAAATATTTCCTTTTCAACTCAAAAAAATCTTTAAAGAATAGAAAGTGGAAATATTCTCCAGAACATATTTTCAGTGAATCAAGTTTGAAGAAACATGAAATTTTCCAGTTGCAAAAGAATGCAGACATCATCTATGTCATCCTTTCATTTTCCATGTAACTTCATTTTGCAAGTAGCTAAGTTTGAGAAAAGTCATTTGCCCCGAGTGACACCGAGGAGCTTAACAGCATACTATTTCCCCTATGAAGGTCATTTATAAAAACGTATGCATTTTAAGTTTTACTTTCAAGAACACAAATAAGAACCCTCTGTTCTGAGATTTAAGAGTCATTTGATGGAAACCATGGCAGACAAATCTACTGTTGGAATGTGGACATGGCTGTTGCCGTCCATTTCAAGATGGTTCAAACGAACTCAAACAAGATTGGACCTGTTTCTCTTTGTTTTGTATTGATCGTCAGCCATAATTACCTCAGAAAATGACACTAGAAAGATTTAGGCAAAATATTTATAAGTAAATACGAGCTTGTAGGGCTAATTATGGTAAATTCTACCAAGCCTTTGAATGCAACATTAAAATGACTAATTATTTCCTCTGGATACTATTTCCTGAGTCTTAATATATTAGATTGTAGAAAGAGTAAAATCAGATATTGTCAACTTCACTTATTTTTTACCTGAAGTAATATAACATTCGGTTTATGTTCTCTGATATGGTTTGGCTGTGTCCCCACACAACTGTCACCTTGAATTGTAATAATCCCCACGTGTCAAGTGTGGAGCCAGGTGGAGACAAGTGAATCATGACGACGGTTTCCCCCAGACTGTTCTTCTGGTAGTAAGTCTCAGGAGATCTGATGGTTTTATAAAGGGGAGTTTCCTTCACAAGCTCTCTTCCCTGCCACCATGTAAGATGTGACTTTGCTCCTCCTTTGCCTTCCACCATGATTGTGAGGCCTCCCCAGCCGTGTGGAACTGTGAGTCCACTAAACCTCTTTCCTTTATAAATTACCTATTCTCGAGTATGTCTTTATTAGCAGTGTGAGAAAAGAATAATACATTCTTTAATTAAAATTGGTCAAATGAATCCACTGCATATGATCTCAATATAAAAATCAGACCTTTCCTAGGAAATATACTAGATCACGAATAAAGCCCAAAGTAGCATATCCTGAAGCACATGCATAAGGCAACTAAAGAGCAGAGTCACGCCCAACGGGACAGGCTAAACCTTCTCAATCTGCCTTTACTCATTTCTCTCAGAATTCACAATCAGGCATAAGAAAAATCTTCTTTGTGAACCACAGTTTTTGTTGGGGTTCATGGAGATTTCTTTTTTTGCCCTTCACACATTTGATTTACTTATTTGCTGGCTTATAAATGGCTCGATCATTAAAACCAGTGTTCTTCTCTCCTCAGTGACCCGCACTTAATTATGGCTCATCTGGTTTACAGCAATAGTGCCAGGGAAAAGAGCATGTTCAGCAAGCTGTTTTTACACAATGTTCATTTGAGGTATATTAGGGAACTTCATCAGCCCTCTATGATGATATATTGTTTCACTTTTTCCTAACACCTGCGTGGTTGTTCAGCACATTCTTCAGGCTTTTTCCTCTCCATACCAGTGTCTATGCAGCTATATATCATTTCAGAAATCTGCATGGCAATATTGCTTCCATATTCTCGTTAACTTGCCCAAGAACGCGCCTGAAAGTAAATTTTAAAAATTTAAATGTAAAAATTATAGCATATTCCCAAACAACATGTCCACAAGCACATCTTCAGAGATTACCACCCTGAGCCTTCCGATATTTCCACCTTACCAACAACATTGTAGATCACGGTGTTATTTTATGACAAAGTAACCAAGTTACTCAGTATTATTAAGGCGATGAAACATTTCAACTGTATAATCTCTTTTGAGGTTGGGAAACCATTCTAATATTCACAAACCTGGTCATTTCGTAACTATTAAAATACACCGTTCCCCAACAGAACTGAAATAGCATGCTAGGAGAGAACACCAAACATCTGCGTTAGCTAAAATTATAATACATGGGGTGGAATGTCAGAGAGAAAATCAGAGTCATGAATGTTTAATCACTTGATGTTGTGGAAAAGCTGGTGGCTGCATTAGCACTAAACATAGATGGCAGACTTCACCGTGACTCAACCTTACCACCTTCTCCTTGAACGTATAAGAACGTGTCTACTCAAAAAATAAACACATGAACATCTATGCAGAATTTAAAATTTTTGTAACATTTGTATATTGTCACCGTGTATATTTTTGAAACACTTGTATTTATAATGTAAGTGATGCAGGTGTTTGAATTCCTTTTATAGATTTCCCCCCTCCCAGAAAAATGAAAGCAAAAAGTTTATCAAACTTAGTATTATACCTGGTTTCTGAGCTCTCACTAGAGGGCAGGTAAATGAGGAAAATGTAGTGTGTGTGTGTGTGTGTGTGTGTGTGTGTGTGTGTGTGTGTGTTAAATATTTGAGTATTTTCAGGTTGAAAGAAACCACCGAATTCCACCCAAACCCATGTTTAGATCTTTTGTGGCCAGGCACGGTGGCTCACGCCTGTAATCCCAGCACTTTGGGAGGCCGAGGCGGGCGGATGACGAGGTCAGGAGATCGAGACCATCCTGGCTAACATGGTGAAACCCCGTCTCTACTAAAAAGACAAAAAATTAGCCGGGCGTGGTGGCGGGCGCCTGCAGTCCCAGCTACTCAGGAGGCTGAGGCAGGAGAATGGCGTGAACCTGGGAGGCGGAGCTTGCAATGATCCGAGATCGCGCCACTGCACTCCAGCCTGGGTAAGAAACTCCATTTCAAATAAATAAATAAATATACCTTTTGTGGACACAGGAACAAACCACTTCATACACACACACACACACACGCACACACACACACGTATATATGATATATATACACACACACAAAACTCTACAAAAATGACGCGTTAAGAGTGTTCTTAACAGAAGTAGCGAATTCAGGTATCTTCTTTATGTGTTTGCATGTAGGAAAGCATAAATAGCTCAAACTCATTTTTATTAAAAGTAGAGTGAATGAAAGGGAACATTCAGTAGTTTAGTAAAGGAAGTTCTCCTTCAGTACATAAGTGAAGAAATAACAACTGCAACAAAACTTGGTGAGGGACCAGAGTGTTCAGACAGAAGAATAACTGAGTTAAATATTGCTTACAGAAATCATTCAAGAAAAGCAAGCATGCTATAAAACCTCCAAAGCCTACAGAGTTTCCTACCAATCCCACTCCAAGTTAAGGGTCCAGCAATGCATCTTTATTCATTTTCCCCCTGCATGAAGCTCTGTTTCTCCAGTGTCATTCATGGGTAACATGTGCTACTAACCTGGCTGCTGTTTGGAAGTGAAGATTTCTAGATTCCAGGCCGAAAGTAGAGGAGCTTTGGAGGATGGGAACCAGGCCTTGCCATTTAAACAGCGCAGGTGAGTCTCATGATTTGAATCAGCTGTTTTTTTGTTTTGTTTTGTTTGTAGAATTGCATTTTTTTATGGATGTTCTTTCTTATTTTTTCATGATATTGGGGTACATGTGGCATTTGGTTACTTAAGTTACTGGTGTTTGGGAGATCCTGGTGCACTCATCACCTGAGCAGTGTACACTGCACCATATATGTTGTCTTTTATCCCTCACACACCTCCTAGTCTTCCCCTCAAGTTCCCAAAGTCCATTGTATCTTTCTTATGCCTTTGCATCCTTATAGCTTAACTGCCACAAATCAGTGGGAAGATACAATGTTTGGTTTTCCATTCCTGAGTTACTTCACTTAGAACAATTGTCTCCAATCTCATCCCGGTCACTGCAAATGCTGTTCATTCATTCATTCCTTATTATGGCTAAGTAGTATTCATCATATGTAATACACACACACACACACACACCAGTTTCTTTATCCACTTGTTGATTTATGGACATTTGGGTTGGTTCTACGATTTTGCAATTGTCAATTGTGCTACTATAAACATGCATGTACAAGTATCCTTTTCGTGTAATGACTTCTTTTCCTCTGAGTAGATACCTGGGAGTGGGATTGCTGGATCAAATGTTGTTCTTTTGTTGAAGTCTTAGAGTATTTTAAATATGTTTCATTTTAAATGTCTGTTTCAGTCCATTTTTACCTCTATCCTGTAAGCATCTTGGCTGTTTTCACTGTGTCTGCTTTATTCTGGTCCTGCGAAGGTAGTTCACATACACCTGTTAGTGAGGGCTTCTTTCCATGTGTTTTGTCCTTCTCACCGTGCTCTCCAATGGAGAGGTACAGTGAGGGCACCTTCTCCGGCCGTGAATGACTGGAACCGAGTTCTTCTCTCAAAGCAGTCTTGCAGGCCCAGCCCCTGACCGACTTGACAATGGCGCACATTCCTAGTTGTTCAGCTATCTCTGCCCTTTCCTCTAAAATCTAGAGGCTGAAACTATAATGAATTTAGCCCTTTAAATCTGAATAAACATATTACTTTTTAAATGTCAATATGTGAAATATAATAGCAACTGAAAGACTTTGCAGCTATGTGAATATGTGAATATATGAAGATAAACGAATTTCAATTGCTATAAAATTCTTACATTGTATGCAGTTATTAAAATGTATCTTTACTGAAGGAAGAATAATATGAATAATACTGTGTTATGTATTACAACTCTGAATTGGTCATCAAAACCCCAATTCACTTTGGTATATGATCTCAAATAAAATATGGTACGCAAATGCTCACACATGTAGTGTGTTCTTAAGTAGCTAAGGGTTTTCAGTTGAAAGAGCCTCTTACGTGCTAGAATTAGAGGTTCAGGGACTAAAAAGTAACCTTATAGATCTCATCTGGCCATTGTGCTTTCTCACATTTCCTCCTGATATCATGCCTGTTGCGTAAGCTATTCACAACAGGATCGTAGAGCTGAGCCCACTGTATTTCATCAAATAATTTAAATATCAAATATTTACTCCAAGGCCAGAAATATTAAGAGTTTATATTTTATCACCTCCAAGATACTTCTCTCCTACCATCGCCCTCACCAACATGGCATTACTTTATCCACAGTTCCTCTGCACTACCATCTCTAAGTAAGTTGGAAATGCACAGTTGGAAAAAAAAAATCTGTCATTCTCCATGGTCTGCTTAGTATTAGTCCTTTAGGATACAAATAAATAGCATGCTTAAATAAATACAATATCTACAGGTTTCCTATAACTTTAAAGTTTTCTTCATGGTAGGACTTCAAAAACTTAACAAATAATCAGAATTAATTTGAGATCAAGAGATACTCAAGCCAAAATTTTAAAGGTATATTGTAAAAGAAAAATGAAAAGAATAAGGAGGATGGGGAGACAGAGGAGGAGAAATACCAAAATAGTATTACAAAATTTAAAAGTGTGAGTAATATCACTTAAAATTTATCATATTTTAATGCTAAAATCATAGACGTATAATTGTAGTATTTATAAAAAATAGAGAATATACTTAATTAAAAGCCCATTGCTAGTGGTGTAATGCCTGAATGAGACTCAGTTTAAGATGTATAATAAACATCTCCCTCCCCTTCCCATGGAACTTCTGTCCTGAGGAATACACAGTAGCTGCTGCTGATTTACATGTATACTTACGTATATATGTATATATGTATACATACATATGCTATGATCAGCCAATTTAATTTATTCTCAAAATTTATTCTCAAAATTTCCATGCATGCAAAATTATGATGACGTTCACTTTATTCAGGGATGAATGTCTTCTGGGGTGTTATAATTTTATGTACCAAATGAATGTCACTGTGGGGCTTGTTGAACTTTTGCTTTACCAGTGGGTGTGGAGCGCGGCCATGGGCCAGATCCAGCTGGTGCCATCTGACAGCTGCCTAGTTTTGTAAGGCCCATGAGCTTAGAATGATTTTACACTTTTTAATGGTTGAAAAGAAAAAGAAGGGGACTGTTTCGTGACACGTGAAAATATATGAAATTCAAATTTCAGTGTCCACACAGTCGGCCTGGGGGGAGCTGCCACTGGCTCCTTTCCACAAGGTGTATGTCTCCTTTTGCGATACCAGCAGAGCTCCGCAGATGCAGAGGTGACGATATGGCCTACAAAACTTAAAATATTTACTATCTGGCCATTTAAAGAAAAAGTGTGCTGAAAGTAATAGTCTAACAGGGTATAACTATATCATGCAATAATTTATGAATTCCTTTTAGTGCTAACTTGGTATTTTGCATACTTTTTCTAAGAGTAGAAACCAGGTATTTGTAGCTTAATCATTAAAATATCTCTCAAGATAAGTGTATATGATTTCAAAAAGCAATTAGGTTGCAATAAAGCTTTGTCAGCCAAGGCAAGGGTAAACAAGTTATAAATCACGTAAGAGTGCCTTGGTTTCAGTGCTCAAATAACTTTTAAACACGGTTTTACCAATAATCACCATAAACCTAAAACTACAGGACAGTGAACCTTTATTAAAAAAACTGAATAATTAGTACATTCAGTACTACACTTCCAGAGTCTTGTGCACACACACACACACACATTTAAGTTGACATATATAGGCATATAATATATACATATATGCCTATATATGTGGCAAAATCAATATACATGTGATACGAATGAAGTATTCCAGTTACACATAGTATATTAATAAATGCAGGAATACTAGGGTAGAAATTTAGAAGGCAGAGTTGTAGCCCAGTTCGGTCACTAATAAGTTACTTGGTTATCAGCAATTTCACAAAAGTCCCAGAGCATGAGTTGCATTATCTGTAGAGAGGGGTGTCCCTCCTTCTGAGATTACTTCACTCTTCAAGAATATTTAATTCAATAGATATATTCTGTGTATATATGGCTGCAGTGCATTATTGTGCAGGGGCCAAATAGGTACAACATATCTAAACACTATAATTATCTACAGAAATTATCAATAGGGTTTAAACTCACAATAACATATTAACTAGAGAAGCTTTGTTTTTCTTCCTATTTTCTCGAGCAATTTAAAGCTAAGCCATTCTTTAAAAACAAGATTGAATCCTTCCTCTTTGTCTCTTATAGACTTCCCCAACCTTGCAAATAGAGATGTCTCCTTCCAATCCTCTTGCGCAGAAGAGCCCTGTGTTCCTTGGAGATTACATGGTGTTCTAAAAGACTGAATTAACTCAAGAGTCAATGAACCTGTGTTTGAGTCATGCTCCCCTTGCAAATGTGTGTGGTTGATTCTGGGTATGAATCCTCAGCCCTCTGGGTTTTAGTGTGTTTGTCTATAGACAGGAGCACTGTGGCCTGGCCCACTTCTACATTCATTCCAAGGGTCCACGTCAAGGAGTTGGTAAAGAACGCACAATGAGTACAGGCTAGTTGCAGGAACCCACCATCTCTCCTACTGTCGGAAGCAAGACTCAGTGCAAGTCCAGAGACAACACTACTAAATTCTAAACAGCCCCTACCTTTTAACCACAGTTTAAAACATCAACGTTCAGTGAAAGAATGCTTCCCTACTGGAGATCTTCCACATGGTTAGGATGCTCAATTAGCCAAATGCCACTGCCATCCCAGTTGTGGAGTTCCAGCTCTCTTCCCTGTCCCCATCTGAGCATACAGTTCCTCTCGTCTCTGACCGCCTGGGATCTCGGACAAGTTACTTAACATATCTGTATGTCTGGTTTCCTCTCTGCAGGTTTGGCTGTGAGGATGATCTGAGAGGATGAACTACACGTGAGAGTGACTGTCACCGAGTAAACGCGTGGCATTTGTCACCATTTTAGGGGGTAACCCTTCTCATCTAATGTTGATTTCCTGATGAACACACATCTACCTCCCTGAATTTGCTTTTACTTAATAGTGGTCCCCAAATGCATCCAGCTCCATGGGAAGTGCAAATCCTCCTCTTATCTGTTGCATGATTAACACATGCCTCTTTACCCTAATTGTAAGTTACTGCAAACTCCATCTATAAAACAGTATTTGTGGAATTAATTAACTGTGTTTTAAGTCATAGAAGAGCCCGTTATCATAACCTCTTTTTTCTTGCACATACTTCCTGTTCCTCCCAGGTTCTTTGAGATGGAGTCTGGCTCTGTCGCCCAGGCTGGAGGGCAGTGGCGCGATCTCGGCTCACTGCAAGCTCCGCCTCCCAGGTTCACGTCATTCTCCTGCCTCAGCCTCCAGAGTAGCTGAGACTACAGGCTGCCCGCCACCACACCTGGCTAATTTTTTTTTTGTTTTTTAGTGGACACAGGGTTTCAACATCTTAGCCAGGATGGTCTCCGATCTCCTGACCTCGTGATCCGCCTACCTCGGCCTCCAAAAGTGCTGGGACTACAGGTGTGAGCCACTGCACCCGGCCCCTCGGGGTTCGTAATCTCACAGTTCCTGACACAATTAATCACGGAGCTTCTGGTCTCCTTTATCTATCTTTAATATTGGTAAAGCACTGACAGGTCCCCTGAAAGTAGAATTAGGCTTCTGATAGCAGGTGAATTTCTTTTTAATCATTTCATGGGACTTGAGGAATACTTGACTGACAGTAGATATTTGACTAATATTTGAAGACATTTTAAAATAAAATATTTCTTAAAATTAATGCTATATTGAAAAGAAAAACTGGATTTTTCGTGCCCAACAGATGTTTTGTCAGTTCTCATGCTACACACTGTGTGGATGCTGAAATAGTCACTGAATCTCTGAGCTGAAGCTTTATCATTTGTAGAATGGGCTAAATTAGACTTATTAAGCTGTGAGGCTTAAATTAGACAACTGGTTTTCAGTGGAATACCTAAGTTACTCAAAAAGCAGGAAGGAAAAGGCGTAAAAGAAAATATTACTACTTACTCATAAATAATACAAGATAAAGAAACTTATTTTTAAAATATTAGATAATGATATATCTGATATCTGCAGTCATCTGTGATTTTTAATTGATTTAATGTAGCCTCATGAAGGGCTAACTGTGTCTCAGGCACTGCTTCTAAGTAATCTGAAAAACTAACTCATTTTATCTTCATTACAGCCTAATAAGGTCGACATTATTGCATTTCCACTTTACAGATTAGAAGACGGAGGCCTGCAAGATCAGGTAACGACCACGGTCCTACAAAGTTAAAAAGTCGTAGAGTTCAAGTTTGTTCCTCTGTGAAACGCAGTTGCCCTATTTTATACTCCCAACTCTCTGCTTTGCTGTCCCTTTTGTTTTGTTTTTCCTTAAAGAAGTTTCCTATCAGCAGCCAGGTGCGACGGCTTGGCTCACGCCTGTAATCCCAACACTTTGGGAGGCCGAAGTGGGCGGATCACGAGGTCAGGAGATCGAGACCATCCTGGCTAACACGGTGAAACCCCATCTCTACTAAAAATACAAAAAACTAGCCAGGCGTGGTGCGGGGCGCCTGTACTCCCAGCTATTTGGGAGGCTAAGGCAGAAGAATTGCTTGAACCCGGGAGGCGGAGCTTGCAGTGAGGCGAGTTCACTCCACTGCACGCCAAGGCCCTCCAGCCTGGGCAACACAGCAAGACTCCATCTCAAAATAAATAAATAAATAAATAAATAAAGTTTCCTATCCTTAGATTAAGAAAAAGCAAGACAAGGATTAGAGGTAGGATACATAAGGAACCTGTGAAAATAAAGGCTGAGATAATTTAATTGATATACAAATGAGAACAGAATTACAAATCCAAGTACTTTATAAAAATAGAATTATGACAGAGGGTAATTCAATTTACATGAGTACAGTGAAGAAAAAGTCCATTACATCTGTATTTTCCAAAGGATCCTGGGAGATTTTAACAAAAGACTTGTTTTTTCCATGAGAGGGGATTTCAACCAGAACACAAGCAGTGGACTCCTCCTCCTTCAGGTGGACTCCTTGGCCCTGGGGTTGTAACTGAACCTTGAGACCCCAAGCTCATCTGTCTGCCCCCTGCACTCATAGTGGTCCAGCAGAGCCTGGGGACAGAGTCTCAGGTCCGAGGGATTAGATGTAACTTTGGACAAGAAGAGTTTTGTTAAAGGTCCCTTGCTGATAAGATTACGGCTTTCTTCAGAGAACTCTTCCTCATTTGTCTGCTTAATTTGTGCAATAGATAGAACAGGATCTTTAATTTATTGTGGGAAGTGGATAATATAGCCCCGTGAAGTGTAGCACAAAATAGCTGCTCAATAAACATTCTTTTCTCTTTTCACCAGTTTGCTACCCCCTCTACTGGCCTCAAGAAGGAAAGGACAGTGAAATAAAAGAAATTATGGGATGACTGATAAGATTTGTAAGAGAAAAGGACTTTCTTTACATTGTTGTGTAATCAGTTTTTACTTACTGAGCAATTTAGTTTTTAAGTTAAATTTAAAAATGAAAGGGAATTATTATTGTAGTTTGATTTTATAATATGGGATAGTTGTTCCCCATTGGTTATCAGGGTCTCTATAAATTCATGGCTCATCTGAGTTATAAAAGTAATTTAATTAAATGTAAAAGATTATTTCTTAAACTGTTAGGACAAGTCTATGTAATTTAAGCCAAATATCTAAAAACTGCTATCAACAAACATCTCAGTAGCAGTCTTTGAATAGATTTTGAATTTTCAGTATTTACTTCTGCTACTACGGAAGGGAGAAAATTGAATTTTCTCTTCAGAGCAGCCAGGTCACAGTGGATCATAATATCAGAGACTTCATCAGACACTTTCAACAGAGTAAATAATAGGTGAGAGACAGTTTCAAACATACCTAAACAGGCTTAAACAGGAAATGCCACCATTTTGTATTTGGTGGATCTTCCATGATGACCAAGGTCAGTGTTTCTCAATTTTCTTTTTCCATTATCACCCCTTAAAGGAGCCTTTTCAAAGTTTTTCCCTCCTGCCCGTCATGAAATTCTATACTACAGGTACCCTGCATAACTGTTTTAGGTACTCGTATGTGTATGCATGTGCGTGCATGCTTTATACGTAAGAGGGATAAAAAAATGTTCTGGCCTCCAGGATTTTATTCCTGCTCCCCTCATTTAGGGTCTTTCCAGCTCTATCTTCCCCACCACCCCCTCTCTGGAGGAGGAAAAGCATACTTTTATTGTTTGCAAAGCTAAGAAAGAAGAGCAATAACTCCCTCCCTACTACAGATTGTAGGAAACAGGAGCGCCATCTGCCTGGAGGACCCATTTCAAAGAGACAACATCAACGTCCCTGGGAAGGACGGTGCCAGGACATACAACTGGCAGGCAGCCTTTAAAAAGCATTACATCGCTCTGTGCCTGGTTATTTCACTTAACAAAGTGACTTCTAGTTCCACCCATGTTGTTGCAAAAGACAGGATCTCATTTTTCATGGCTGAATAGTACTCCACTATGTATATGTATCTCATTTTCTTTATAAATTCATCACATGTTCTCACTTATTTGTGGGATCTGAAAATCAAAACAATAGAACTCATGGACATAGAGAGTAAAGGACGGTTACCAGAGTCTAGAAAGGGTGTAGGGCAGGGGGGAGATGAAAATGGTTAACAAGTACAAAAAAGAAAGAATGAGTAAGACCTACTTTTTGCTAGCATAACAGGTTGACTGACTGTAGTCAATAATTTAATTGTACTTATTTCAATAACTAAGACTATAATTGAATTGTCTGTAACAGAAAAGTTAAGTGCTTGAGGGAATAGCTACCCCATTCCCCATCATGTCTTTATTATGCATTGCATGCCTGTATCAAAATCTCTCTTGTACTTCATAAATATATATACCTACTAAATGCCCACAAAAATTTAAAAAATAAGTTATTGTAAAAATAAGTAGTTAATTAACATTAAAAATGCTTTACATCTCAAAGGGGCAGAAAGGATTACAACTTTCTTTAAGCCAAGGGGAACATTAAGGTCCTCTTGATAAGACTAGGGCCCTTAAAATAAAGAGAAATCTTACCTAAGAAAACAGCTTTCCCCTCTTCAGTTCCTGTTTACTGTTATAGCTTCCATTATTGCCCTAGTCCATACAAGATTCATTTGTTTTTCATGTTTTTTCCAAAGTAATCTATTTTTAGTAATACAATTTCCTCTCTTGCTTTCTAGAAGACTCTACATTGTCAGTTAAAACATTTTTTAAAAAGATAATCAATGGCCGGGCGCGGTGGCTCACGCCTGTAATCCCAGCACTTTGGGAGGCCGAGGCGGGCGGATCACGAGGTCAGGAGATCGAGACCATCCCGGCTAAAACGGTGAAACCCCGTCTCTACTAAAAATACAAAAAAATTAGCCGGGCGTAGTGGCGGGCGCCTGTAGTCCCAGCTACTTGGGAGGCTGAGGCAGGAGAATGGCGTGAACCCGGGAGGCGGAGCTTGCAGTGAGCCGAGATCCCGCCACTGCACTCCAGCCTGCGCGACAGAGCGAGACTCCTTCTCAAAAAAAAAAAAAAAAAAAAAAAAAAAAAAAAAAAAAAAAAAAAAAAAGATAATCAATATAATACACTGCCTGTTACTAAAATCATAACCAAATATTGAACCTAAATCAAAGCACCCGACAAAAACGTGCAAGGGATTTAATATGTTTAAATTTTACTCGAAAACATTTATATTCTAATGGAACTCAGATGATATTTTATGAAATATGTTCTCTTTCAATTGTGAGGACATTTTCCATATTCATCAGTTGTAATGGCAAGTTTACAAGAAAAAGTTTAAATACTTTAAGTGTGTAGACATATAGTGAACTAATATACAGCATATCATATTTTTATTTTGAATTTGGTAGTTTTGCTCACAATAAATATTTGCACCTTGTCTATATATAAAAAAAGAGTTTTGTTAATGCTTAAGTAGTTTGGAATGTAATTTTACTTTCTTAAAGAAAAACTGTAAGTGTAAATAAATTTAGGATTACACCTGATTCTGAAAACTGTACAACTAATTGAAATGCTAAGATTATCAAAATCATGCATCATTTTTTCACATTTCTGTATTTTAGGTGTTCTTTTTAAATGTTAATTTTGCCTAACCTCTGGGGAAAAATAAAAGACAACATTTCTTTTTAGATTGTCTGTTCTTTTTCTCCAAGTCTACTGGCCTTAGGGCAGTGCTACGAATCCAGGCGTTGTGATTAAATTCCCTGTGATATCAGAGACAGTTACTTATGATTGTGCCTCTTATTGATGATATCAAGCAGATACTCTGGTTTCTGTCTTTGTACTTGATTTGTTTACTCTGAACACTAACGGTGAATTTTAACAGTTGCTTCCTGTGGTTAAAACCTAAGGCAAACTCCAGCCTCTGATCCAGCCTGAGACTTTCTGCCACGTGCTTTAGGCTGAGCTTCCAGATTTGAATAGCTGACTCCGGTGACCGAATTTATAGTCAAGTCCTGATTACTCTTGGCATTACCCTCCAGAGGTTTTGATCTTTTGACTTTTCTAGATTCCACCAAGGAAACATCACTAAAAATCTACTTAAAGAGTAATTTTCTTTTGATATCAAAATATTTCATCTTTAAAGTTTTATTATTTTTTTCTTTTTTGAAAATGTTTTTAGGTTCAGGGTATCCACGTACAGGTTTGTTCATGGGGAAACTGTGTGTTGTTGAGGCTTGATTTAGGAATGAGCCTGTCGCCCAGGTAGTGAGCACAGTACCTGACAGATAGCCTTCCAATCCATGAGCCTCTCCTACCCTCCCCACTCAGGTAGTACCCGGCACCTGTTGTTCCCTACTTTGTGTCACTGTCTTCAGTGTTTCACTCCCGTTTATGAGAACATGCAGCATTTGGTTTTCTGTCTCTGCATTGCTTCACTTAGGATAATGGTCTTCAACTGCATCCATGTAGCTGCAAAAGACGTGATTCTTTTTTTTTTCTGTTTTATGGCTGCATAGTGTCTCACTTTGCATATGTACCACATTTTCTTTAGCCAGTTCACCATTGGTGAACATCGTGGCTGATTCCACGTGTTTACCATTGAGAATAGCACTGCAATGAACATATGCATGCACGTGTCTTTTTGACAGAATGATTTATTTCCTTTTGGGTAATCCCAAAGGTGGGACTGCTGGTTTAAATAGTAGTCCTGTTTTAAGTTCTTCGATAAAACTCCACAGTTTTCCACAGTAGCTTAATTAATTTGCATTCCACTCACAGCATATAAAAACGTTACTTTTTTTTCTGCAAATTCACCAGCATCTGTTGTTTTTTTTGCTTTTTATTAACAGCAATTTTGACTCATGAGAGATGGTATCTCATCGTGGTTTTGATTTGCATGTCTCTAATAGTTACTGATGAGCGTTTTTTCTTTTTCTTTTATTTTATTATTATTATTAGACTTTAAGTTTTAGGGTACATGTGAACAACGTGCACGTTAGTTACATACATATACATGTGCCATGCTGCTGTGCTGCACCCATTAACTCGTCATTTGGTTTGCTGGCTGCTTGTTTATCTTCTTTTGAGAAGTGCCTGTTCATGTCCTTGCCCATTTTTTTAATAGGGTTGTTTTTCGTTTGCTGATTTGTCTAAGTTCCCTACAGATTCTTGATATTACACCTTTGTTGGATGTGTACTCTGCAAATATTTTCTCCCATTCTGGAGGTTGTCTGCTTACTCTGTTGATAACTTCTTTTGCTGTGCAGAAGCTTCTTAGTTTAATAGGTCCCACTTGTCAATTTTTATTTTTATTGCAATTGCTTTTAGAGACTTATTCATAAATTGTTTACCAAGGCCAATGTTCAGAATGGTATTTCTTAGGTTGTTTTCTATGATTTTAATTGTGTTAGAGCTTGCATTGAATCCTTTAATCCATCTGGAGTTATTTTTTGTATGTGGTGTAAGGAAGGGGTCCAGTCTCATAAGTCCAGCCGGGCCAGACTGCATGAGTCTAGACAGTTTTCCCAGCTCCATTTTTTAAATAGGGAGTCCTTTCCCCATTGTCTGATATTGTCAACTTTGTCAAAGATCACGTGATTGTAGGTGTATGGCTTTATTTCTGGGTCCTCTCTCATTTTTCATTGGTCTATGTGTCTATTTCTGTACCAGTACCATGATGTTTTGATTAATGTAGTCCTGCAGTACAGTTTGAAATCGGGTAGTGTGATACCTCCAGCTTTGTTCCTTTTGCTCAGGACTGCTTTAGCTAATGTGGGGCTCTTTGGGCTCCATATAAATTTTAGAATGGTTTTTCTTTTTCTAATTCTGTAAAAAATGACATTGGTACTTTGATATTAATATTGAATCTGTAAATTGCTTTGGGTGGTATGATGATTTTCACAATATTGAGTCTTCCTGACCATGAGCACTGAATGGTTTTCATCTGTTTCTGTCATCTCTGATTTCTTTCAGCAGTGTTTTGTAATTCTTGCTGTGGAAATATTTTTCATTGTTGGTAAGTTATATCCCTAGGTATTTTATTCTTTGTGCTATTTTTAAATAGGATTGTGTTCTTAATTCGGCTTTGAGCTTCGATAGGGTATAGAAATGCTACTAATTTTCGTACATTATTTTGTATCCTGAAACATTACTGAAGTTGTTTATCAGTTCTAGAAGCCTTCTGGCAGGCTTTATGGGGTGTTCTAGGTATAGAGTTACATTGTCAGTGAAGTGAGACACCTTTTCTTGGCTGATTGCTCTGGCTAGAACTTCCAGTACTATGTTGAATAGTGGTCAAAGTGCGCATCCTTGTCTCATTCCTGTTCTCAAGGGGAGTGCTTCTAGCTTTTTCTCATTCAGTATGGTGTTCATAGATGATCATTTTTTTGAGATATATTCCTTCAATGCCTAATTTGTTGAGGGTTTTTAACATGAATGTGTGCTGAATTTATCAGAGGCATTTTCTGTGTCTACTGAGATGATCTTGTGGCTTTTTTGTTCTGTGTATATGGTGAATCACATTTATTGATATGTGTATGTTAAACCAACTTTAGATCACAGGTATACAGCCTACTTTATTGTGGTGAATTAGCTTTTTCATCTGCTGCTGGATTCAGTTTGCTGGTATTTTCTACGTTCATCAGGAATATTTGCCAGAAGATTCATTTTTCTGTTGTGTCTCTACCAGGGTTTTAATATCAGAATGATGCTGGTTTCATAAAGTGACTTAGAGAGAAGTCCCTCTTTCTCAAATTTTTGGGAATCATTTTAGTAAGATAGGTACTAGCTCTTTTTTGTACATCTGGTAAAATTCGGCTTTGAATACATTTGGTCCAGGACTTTTGGTTGGTAGGCTTTTTATTACCGATTCAATTTTGGAACTTATTGGTCTGTTCAGGATTTTAATTTCTTCCTGGCTTAATATGAGATGTTGTGTATTTCTAGGAATTTATCTAGTCTCCTAGGTTTTCTAGTTTGTGTATACAGAGGTGCTCATAATACTCTCAGGATTTTTTGTATTTCTGTTGGATAGGTTGTAATGTCAGCTTTGTCATTTCTAAGTGTCTTTATTTGGGTCTTCTTAAAATTAATCTATCTCACAGTCTATCAATCTTATTTAATCCTTCAAATCATCAACTTTTGGTTTTATTGATCTCTTATATGGATTTTAGCAGTTCAATTTCATTCAGTTCAGCTCTGATTTTGGTTATTTTCTGCTATGTTTGGGGATGGTTTGCTCTGGTTTTTCTAGTTCCTCTAGGTTTGATGTTAGGTTGCTAATTTAAGATCTTTTTGACTTCTTGATATAGACATTAAGTGCTAAAAACTTTCCTCTTAACACTGATTTAGCTGTTTCCCAGAGATTCTGGTATTTTGTGTCTCCATTTTCACTGGTTTCAAAAACTTTTTTTGATTTCTGACTTAATTTCATTCTTTACCTAAAAGTCATTTGGTGTCAAGTTCAACTTCCATGTAATTGTATGGCTCTGATGGGTCTTTCTGATACGACTTCATTTTTGTTTGTGCTGTTTTATTTGTGGTTGTTATGAATTGAATTTTTTTTTAAATTTATTGAGACTTGCTTTAAGGCCAAGCATGTGGTTGATCTTAGACTGTGTGCCATGTGCAGGTAAGAAGAAAGTATATTCTATCACTGTTGGGTGGAGTGTTTTATAGATGTCTCTGACGTATAATTAGTCAAGTGTCAAGGTTAAGTTCAAAATATCTGTTAGTTTTCTGCCACAATGATTTGTCTAACACCGTCAGTGCAGTATTGAAGTCTCCCAGTATTATTGAGTGGTTGTCTAAGTCTGTCTGTAGATCTCTATGAACTTGTTTTATGACTATGAGTGCTCCCACGTTGAGTGACTTAACTACTTAAAATAGTTGTCTTCTTGTTGAGTTGAGCCCTTTATCATTACGTAATGCCCTTGTCTTTTTTTATTGTTGTTGGTTTAAAGATCGTTTTCTCTAATATAGAATTAGCTACTCCTGTTTGTTCATTTTCTGTTTGCCTGATAGATCTTTATCCATCCCTTTACTTCGAGACTATGGGTGTTGTTACTTGTAAGACGAGTATCTGGAAGACAGCAGAGAGTTGGGTCTTGCTTCTTTACCCAACTTTCCATTTGGGTAAAATGTATTTTATGCATTTAAAGTTAGACATTTAACCCATTTACATTCTGGGTCAATACTGACACGTGAGAATTGTATCTATCATCTTGCTGTAAGCTGGTTCTTATGTAGACTTAGTTGTATAGTTGATTTATAATGTCAATGAGGTATGTGCTTCAGTGTGTTTTTCGGTGGTAGTCATTCTTTCATTTCCATATTTAGCATGCCTTTTAGATAGTCTGGTAAGGCAGGTCGAGTTTCAACAAATTACCTTAGCTTTGGCTTTCCTGAAAAGAATTTCATTTCTCCTTTGCTTATGAAGGTTAGTTTGGTGAGATACGAAATTCTTGTTTGGAATTACTTTTTAAGGATATTCAATACAGGCTCCCAGTCTTTCCCAGTTTGTAAGGTTTGTGCTGAAATGTCTGCTGTTAGCCTGATGGGGGTCCCTTTGTAAGTGACCTGCTCCTTCTCTCTAGCTGCTTTCAAGATTTTTTCTTTCTCACAGACCTTGGAAAATCTGATGATATTGTCTTGGAAAGGGTCATCTTGTATAATATCTCATGGAGATTCTCTGAATTTCTTGCATTTGCATGGCAACTGTCCTAATGGGACTGGAAGGATTTCCATGGACTATATGTTCAAATGTGTTTCTCAAGTTTCTTGCTCTCTTTCTCTTGCTGGAATAACAATGAGTTGTGTTTGGTCTCTTTGCATAATCTCATATTTTTGGAAGTTTTGTCCATTTTTAAAAATTCATTTTTAATTTTTGTATGCTCACGTTGCTTCAAAGGAGTGGTGTTCAAGACCTGAGATTCTTTCCTCAGCTCGGTCTGTTATACAGTTAATGTCACCAGTTGTGTTTCGAAATTCCTGTGGCAAATTTAATTCACAAGATCCAGTTTGGTTCTTTCTTAAAATGGTTATGTTGGCTTCCAACTCTTAGATCATTTTATTGTTTTCCTTGGATTCTGTTTCAACCTCCTCTTGTATCTTGATGAGCTCCATTGCCATCCAGATTCTGAAGTCTATGTCTGACACACTTCAGCCATTTCAGTCTGGTTTGAATCCATTGCTGGCGAGCTAGTGTGATTGTTTGGAGGCAAGAAGACACACTGACCTTTAGTGTTACTAGGGTCTTGGAGTGGTTCATTCTCTTTTGTGAAGGCTAATCATCATTTCCCTTTGAAGTTACTGTTCTTTAGATGGGGCATTTTGTTTTTATGGTCTTTATTGCCCTTGAGAGTTTCACAGTAGAACAAGTTGGGTATAGCTGAATGACTTTATTTCTGGATACTTTAGGGGTCAAGGCTCAGCTCCACACTGCTGGGCTACATGCTCTCACCGTGGGGGATTAGGACCAGGTCAGCAGTTTGGCTTCTAGTCCCTTGAGGATGCGCCTCTGCTGGGCTGGAGAGGCCAAGATACTCACAGACTACTGGCAACAGGCAAGTTAAAGTTTTAAATGCAGGGTTTTGAGAGAAACTTCCTGTTATATTTTGTATTAAACATATTTTTATTCTGTTTAATTCAAGTAAGCATTAGGTTTTTAAGGAGGAAATGGAGCAGAGGGCATGTCTGGGGATAGAAAATATAATAAACCTAAGGCTTCAATATTAGATATGGGATATTCCCTTATGCAAAGAGACAATATCGTTATAAATTTTTTAAAGCAATGTATTATTTTTTCATTCATGGATTCAAAATGCTGATTTCTCTGCTTCATAAAAATTCATCTTACTGCACAAATTCACTTATTTTCTTTCTTACGTCTTAAAGTTCTTATATCTTAAAGTTAGTAGAATGTTAGCTATATAATCATTACTTTGTATGTATGTATGTTTTTATGTATTTTTCAAACGCCTAAGGTCTTTACGGTTACATAATAGACAAATATTGTTTTTTAATTCATGTTGTTGGACTGCCAAGCAATTGTAGTGGAGGAACAGGGTCAAGTAAACTGAATTGATCAAAATAAATATTTACGATTGTGGACTGTGGAGGCCATGCAAGTTAAGAAGGGAAGTGTGGATTTCACAAGAGTAATGATGACGAAAAGTGGTAGCTCCGCTAATATAAACTCATTGCCGTGATGGAAATGTTATGACTGAAGACATAAGAGTTCAAAGGTTCAGCACGATATAGCTACAGGTCATGGCAAGGTCTGGGGTGAACATGGCAGTAGGTGGCTGAGGTGGAAGAAAAGCCCTTTCTATCTCAGTGCAAAGTCCATTTACTGAATATTAGCATTTTTCTATGTGCATTTCTCTAACCTTCTACTTGTCCAAAAAGAGATATTTTTTTGTCAGTATTAGCCATTAAGGTATAAGCTAAAGCAGGAAAAAGTAAAACTTTATATGAAGTAAAGATACATAACGTCGGCTCTCCATTTCATTTTATTAAGTCTGTGGGTTAAATGACATCATGAGAACAGACTGTGGTAGCATTAAAAGTGAAGGAGGAACGCTTAGTGTTTCCTTCCACATGCTGTTTTCCATTGCTGCTGTCAAAAGGTAATCATTTCATCTGTATTTGACATATATTTTTGTATACCATGAATTAGTGAACTCAATTCAAGGGCAATAGTTAAGTGTCACTTAAAACAACAACAACAAAAAACAGAAAAAAAGTCCTCTAATACCTCATCCAATAAAATGATTCAAAGCCTTTTGGAGGAATGGCTGTTTCTAGGTTTGAGGTACACTTAAAACAAGGTGAGCGTTTTTACTGTCAGAAAGTAAGGAAGTGTTAAAAAAAAAAAAAAAAATCACAAACAAAAAGCCACATTGATGCAGGCCTGTCAAAGGACTCAATAGCTAACTGAAAGAGTTCTCACTGTCCAAACCTAGAAAATGGAGGCAAAAGAAAAAAAAAAAGTAGCATTGGATAACCCAAAGTGTACAATAAATATACTTGAGTGCATACTGATAAAAATAAAATAGGAAGAAAGCCCAATTTCCAGTGCAGAAGACTACAAAATTATTTACATGGAAATATAGCCCTCAAGAAGGCAAAGTGTAACTCCCCATCCCTTAAGCATGAGTAGCACATAGTGATTTGCTTCCGAAGAGTGCAGTGTGGCAAGAGGAAAATATAAAGTGACTTCACACTGGACAGCCCTCAGCTAGCATCAGCAGTGATGATTCGGGCTCACAGTGTATAACCCTGATTTGATGTGATGAGAAGACAGTTTACCTGTGTGGTCTGTCTCCCAAAACCCCAAACTCCAGTCTCATCATGAGAAAAACATCAGACACCTCCCTAGGGAGGAGCAACCCATGATACCCCTTGACCGGTGCTGCTCCAAACTGTCAAAGTCATCACAAACAAGAGGAGTCTGAGAAACTACCCCAGCCAAGAGGAGCCTACGAAGGTATGATAAGTAAATGTCAAGTGTGATCCAGGGACAGAAAGGGAACATTAGGTAATAACCAAAGAAAGTATGCGACATAGGATTTTTAGTTAATAACGTGTCACTGTTGGTTTATTAACTGCAACAAATGTGCCACCAGAATATAAAATGTTAACAACAGAGGAGACAGAGTGTGGAGTATTTGAAAACACTGCAATATCTCTGAAATGTTCCCATAAATCTAAAACTGTCCTAAAAAAGTTTATTTAGCAAAAAACTTTCAGAACTACTGCATTATTCCTCTCACTTCTATTACGTACTCAACTCTTATCATTTAATTTCATCTTATTTAATTTTCCTATGTGCGATGGTGATTCATGAACATAACTGAAATTTCTTTTCTAAAAATATTATGGAAGTTATGATAGTTTAATGAAACGTTTCACTTTAATTTAATTAGAAGGAAACATTTCTATACTGTCATCTTTCCCTCCGGGGAAGGAACACTGTGCCATCTTATTATCAGGTTCTCCCTGGGGCACTTTTTCTCTTTGATAAATTTGTTATAGTCGTCAAAGCCTGGAAGACAGTACTAGCCAAAGGAGCTTTTCTATGTATATGTATAATTCTTTCTTTTGCTTTAACGCAGAAGCTGTTAGTGAGGTATTAAAATGAAAATTTCCCCTTTCTCTCTATACCTAGAAGACTTTAGTGTCTCTACTGAGTAGACTTGATATATACCATTAACGGAAAAGCCAGTATGAACTATGACAGAAATTAAGACAGAATTCTCAGTAAAAATACGTGATCAAATTGAACTTAAATAATATAATCAATAATGAAGTGTATCATATGTGACCGAAGCATGGTTTTCACACCTGCCATTTTATTGACCCATCAGCTGGATAAGTACGTCCTTACCCTCCCCTTTTAGATCCCCCCTCTGAGTTCCAGTCCAGGGTTAGCTTTGAGGAAGGATTAACAGCAGTCCCCACAACATCATCACCATCACTAACGTGTGAGTTAATTTTTTTTAATACAGCCTACCTACTGTTATGCTGTATTAGAGTACAATATAATTACAGTACAATGTAATCTTTTTCTTTATTTTCAGAATCTGATTATAGGTGTCAGGGGATATCAGTAATAATAAAAAGAAAGTCATAGGGGCTGAAGGCACCTGAAAAAACTTTTTGTAGAAGGAATGGAACTTTATCTGTCCTACGGAGTGAAAGGAAGACAGCTTGCTACTGGCAGGAGTGAGGAGAGAATGCCCACAGCAGATCTAGAGAGAAGAGGCTGGTCAGTCCCACTCAAGCGACTCACACTGTCCAGGAATGAGCCATGGGAAGACAAGGGAAGCAGCTAAGAAATGGTCCTGAAAGCCAGGAGCATGAAGTTGTTTTTTAGCTGGATGTTTTCTGAGTAGACGGCTAGATTATAAAGGTGGCATTTAGGAAAATAAGCAGCTGCATCCGTGTCTGGAGCAGACTAAGCATGAGCAGCAGAGACGTCCAAGTGGTTCTTGTCTAATGAATGGCCACCTGCTCTAGGATGGCCCAGGAGAGGATGGCAGGAAAACGGCCTGCTGAGCAAAGTCTAGAGTGAATTTAAAGAACCTAGGGGCTAATTAAACACAGGACATGAAGCTGAAGAAGAGCCAATGATCTGTTCCAGGTTTCTAATCAGAGTCTTAGAAAACAATGATTAAACAGACAAAGGTGGGGTGGGGGGGGGGGGCGATAGTGGGGGTACGGGCAAGGAGCAATAGTGGGGACAGGGCAGGGAGCTAGAGCAATTTGTGAAGATTAAGAGGCTGTTATAGGTAGAAAAGGAGTGATGAATATTTCCAGGCATGTTCATTGGCAGACCTGAAGAACGAAGTCAAAAATGGCAACTGTAGATAGGTGAAAATACAGTGTTAGGGTAAAATAACGAAAGCAAGAAATATGGAGTGTTTTCAAGTCTTTGCCCACGGGGATAGATAGTTTGGATGGTCTTAGAATACATAAAACATGCAGTTGTCCATAAACAGACTTCAGGAAAAGACACAAAAAAGTGTCATATCTCCAAAAGCACCTTTCTTCCTGGTCTGTCAGGAGGGTGATCATCCTATTCACCATCCACACAGGGGCACTTTTGAGAGGAAAACAGGGCATTATATTTTGGAATAATGAGCACAAGCATCTTGTACTACCCCAGGAAACCAGAGCTGTCCTCACCCGTTTGTAGTTTTACAGTCCATCTTATGGAGTCTCCTTGATGGGCAAGTGACATCAGAAGAATTTTTTTTTCCTCCTTAACATTTTAGCCCACTTCTTACTAACATTAGCATTTCAACTGAAGACTCCTACTGAGGAAGAAGGCTCACTGGCTAACAGCCACGTGGAATTGTGGCTGTGGGATGGTCGCGGCTGGTGGAAGGATAAGGGAGGAATGCCCACAGAGTGAGAGGGGTAATTAAAGGTCTGCATGACTGTTTTCTTCCTCCTCACTTCCCGACTGCCTGCACCATGCCCTGCCCTGTCTTTGTACAGTGATTTCCCCCTCTTCAAACCATCCTCATACATTTTTTAAGAGTTCAATGTTTTTAAGCCAAAACAGACTTCACAGTCATCTAAATAAAAGATGTACACAACTCCCATCAAACACAGGCAAATGCCTTCAGGATACGGCCACCACCTCCTGCTCTTAGATGTGCAGAGAGTTTCCTGGCAACCTCCAGGCCTTGCCAATGCTGCTTATCCCACTGTTTCTGAGAGCAGCCAAGGGATTGTCTATGGTGGAAAATGCCCGTCTTTAAGTCTTGATATCTATACTGAAGCTAGAGAAGAAAATTTCCATAATTTAATATATCATAACTAAGTAGGACTCAGCTTATCAAAAGATATGGAAATGCACTGCAAACTTTATGCTCTAACATCAAGTGTGCTTAACAACTGTATCAAAAGAATTTATTTTCTGCTGGCTCTGTTTGTCAATAATCGTTTTTGACGTTTTCCTATTTGACAATACTGATAGCATTTTCTCTGATGGTAAGAATGACCTGTGGCCATTGTAGAAAATTTAGAAAGTCAGGACATTTTCAAGAAGAGAATAAAAGTTACCTATAATCTCAACTCTTAGAAATACTTACTGTGAGTAACCATATGTAACCCGTGCTGTGATTCTCTTGTGCATATTTTTTTCTTTACGTTTCAAAATATTTTCGGCTTATTCTGTAGAAACATCATTTAGAAAGAAAACCTCCATTTTTATATGAATAGACCATTATTTTCCCCACAGTATATTTAATCAATTTTTAATTTAATTTTATCTCATATATTTGCCTGTTTGTTGTTGTTACAACATTGAGTTAGTCTGACAATTTTTAGGGGGGAATTAAATAATATTTCTTTTCAGAAGGGTTGCATTCTATAGCCGTGCTCATATCACACCGTTGTTAACGCTGAATATTAATTCTTTAATCTTTGCAAACTGATTGCATTTTAACTTGCACTGCTTTATTCACCCAGCTGCAATATTTTTCAGCCTGTTTGATAACCAACTCTATTTTCTGTTGTCCGACCTCTACTTTCATGTTCCTCACCCCTGTGATTTTGTCTTATTTGTAAGTGCTTCTCTGTTATGCATTTTTACAGGTATTTGACTTGGATTTTGTATTTTGGACACACTACTGTACTGCAATTTTATGGAACGGGGGTAATGTTCACTCCTCCACTCACCGCACAGGTGCTGAGCACCAGCATGGCAGAAGCTGTGCCCCGGGACACAGGTACAGTGGCAAGTGGGATGGCCTCGTCGGTTTCAGATTGTTCTCCTGGATCATTGCTTCTGTTGCTTTCATACATTTCATTCCTCTTTCTTCTAAATTTTCATATAGAGCCATTTCTCCTTTATTTTTCATTTTTATGTGTTTTAAACAGTGGGATTATAGTGCATGGAATTGATTACACATCTTTTGGAAGGGCTGAGAGCGCAAAAGAGGAAAATAATTAACCGAGATTAGTAATTAAACAAAGCAACTATCACCCCTGGGACAGAGAGAGCAAAAGGGAGGAGGAGAAGTCACCACAGCCCAAAACCTTGGTCGGGGGAGGCTTAGAGCTTACTAATTTGGCTTTTAATGGTTTGCTTCCTTTTCTTTTAGTCGTTATATCTAAACTACTTAAATCTATTCAGTTTTCAATGCGAAGTGAGAGGTTAAATTGATTTTTTCCCCCTTAAATTACTAACAAGTCAATTTGACTATATTTTAAAGGTTCTCCAAAGATCACTTTTGGACCCAGGAGAACTAATATATACTCAAAGTTGAGTCAGTAAAGGTGCTGGACTTTGCGAAGAAGCCAAGTAAATTCTCAAAGCCTCAATTTTATGATGTGCAAAACTAGAGGTTCAATGAAATCATTTATAAGGTTCTTTTTAGCAAAGTATATATTTCTATTAAGCTTTTAAAAATTTCATCTGTGGCATACTTTTGATTTAAAATACTTCTTACTCTGCCCATAACAACTATTAGGCTATCAGGAAAAAAGAATTTTTGGCACCTTTAAATATCCAAGCGTTGTACAATTGTTTAGCTTTGTGTATAAATATTTTTGCCCCAATTAGTATACTTCTGTAACTGTGATTACTGCCGAAATGAATTGAATTAGTATGGATTACTTTGTATAGTACTTAAATTGGGAGGTACTTAACAAATGGCCCTCATAATATTGATTATAGCAAATGATAGAATTGTAGTGCTGTCAACAACATTTAAATATATTTGTAATTCCTTTATTTGTATTCCCTCTAATATACAGGTAAGTGTAACACCCACTACTCATTCAATTACAGACTCCGAAGGTGAAGTAGATGCAAAACACAGAAGCCAAATTTTACGGGTGGCATGGAGTGTACATGCTTCAATATTTCCATTATTCACTTATACTCTAGATATTGCGACTCTAATCGGCGTCCAACGAATTAGTCGTGTTATGTACTGATGAGATTTCCTTAAAATTACTTTTCTATTAACATTTGTCAATACATTGTCCCTGTTATATAATCCATGCAAAGTAACTATTAAATTGTTATAAATTGCTGTTTTTGAACTTTGACATTTAATGAATGTAGGTGGAACATAATCATGAGAAATTAGCTCACTCGTTTGCACGCAAGTTGGCTTAAAACAGAAGAGCATGATATCAATTGTAAAAATCTCAAAAATTATTCTCTGTCTAGCACTCTGTCTCCCTAGTTTTTATCCCCTTTATCTCTCTCTCTCTCTTTCTCTCTGTTCATATTCGCTGAAGTCACCGTGTGACCATTCTTCCTTTTAGCTTTGCACTGGTCTTCAATAAGTTTCAAATACCTTGAGTCAAAAAGGATGCTAAAACAAGAGTTTGAAGACAAAAAGAATAGGTGGATAGCAGCTGCTGGTTTAATCATCCCCTTCCTGTCCCTGCTCAAATGTTGAAACCTAATATTCAGTGTGGTGGTCTTAGAAGGTGAGGCCTTTGGGAGATTATGAGGTTATGAGAGCTCTGCTCTCATGAATGGGATTACTGCCCTTGTAAGACGTCAAGGGAGCTTTTTCCCCTTCTGCCATGTGAGGACACATAGAAGGCATAATCTATGAAACAGAGAGTCAGCCCTTTCTCTAGTTGCTGAATCCGCAATGCTTGGGTCTTGGACTTCCCAGCCCCTGGAATTGTGATAAATTCCTATTATTTATAAGCCTTCCAGTTTATGATATTTTGTAATCACAGCTCAGATGGATTAAGAAAGTAGCAAAGTATCTTCTTCAAAATATCCATTAACTGCAGAGGAAAAAAAAGGAATTTTATAGTGGAGATATTCAGCCTACACCACCTTACCAAGTAATTAATGTTAACATCATAAGTGAAATAACAGATATATCAGCCCCTGTAATTTGAGACACTGGAAATGGCTGATTTATTCTGTAGTATTCTGCCCCCAAGTTCATAAATTCAACCAAATTATGGGAAAATATCAGAAAGCCTCAACATGTGGGACTTTTTAAAAAATAGGTGACCAGAAATCTTCAAAACTGTCAAGGTCAAGAAAGACAAGGAAAGACTAATTAGCTGTCACAAATTGGAGGAGATTCAGGAGACAGGAGGAATAAATAGAATGTAGAATTTTGGAACAGAAAAGTGACAGTGGCAAACCTGGTGAGTTCCAGTAAAGCCTGCAGTTTAGTTAATAATGCTGTGTCAACATTAATGTCTTCAGTTTTGACAATTGCATTCTGGTTAATGTTAGCACTGGAAGGCAAGTGGGTGAAGTATATATAGGATGTCTGTATTATTTTTGCAATTTTGTGGTGTCTAAAATTATTTCAAAGTAAAAACTGAAAAATGTTTGCAAGGTAAGCCATGAGATTTATTAACACCAAAATGAGTCTGCTGGACTTTTTTTGAAATTAGTTCTTACAGGGGAAGAGGGCAATGAAGCAACAATGGCGGGAAGAGGGCAATGAAGCAACAGTGGCAGAAAGTATGATAAATGAGAAAAATCTATGGCCCACACTTTAGGTCCAAGTCCTCCAGTCAAAATGTTGACAATTCTATGAGGTAAGTACTGTTTGCTGAAAAAGTGATCCCTGCTAGGAGACAGTGATGTTCACATGCTGGCATGCTGATGGAAGCCGTGTTCCACACACTGGACGTGAACTCCATGAGCGCGGCCAGCATACACTCTGGAGATGGAAGAGTCGCCACTTTGTAGAAAACACATGGAATAGCATCAGTATTGCAGAGAGGACTGCTGAAACTCAATGTGGGTAGCCCAAGGTATAAATTAAATATCCATCAATCCATATGAAGATAAATGATTGGGATAAAAAGTAAATGGGAGAAAAATAAAACAAATTCCTTGTGTTGAATTCTAAATAGTTTCTACATATCTGCCCTCAGAAGGTGGCATGTAACTCCCTTAGGAGGGCTCCCAGTTACTTCTTTCCAGACTACAGTATGGAAAAAGGACACCAGAGTAACCTTGCAGTGGACAAGCCTGACAAACACCTCTGCCAGGTGACTAAGGTCAGCATCTGCAGTGCTGAGCCACAGTGATAGCACACCCTCCTTACATTGTCATGGGAATGACACTTCACCTCTAGTTTTCCTCCCAAAAATCTATAGCTCCAGTCAACACATGAGGAAAACATCAGAAACATCACAATCAAGAGAATTTCCACAGAATGGTTTACCAGTCGGCCTCCAATCTGTCGAGGTCATCAAAGACAAGGAAAACCTGAGAAACCGTCACAGCCAAGGGGAGCCCAAGGAGACGTGACGACTAAATGCCACATGAGGTTTGGGATGGGACCCGTGGATGGAATGAGAACATTAGGTGAAAACTCAGAACATTCAATGCGGTACGGACTGTAGTCATTAAAGTGTCAATATCAGTTCATTAATTGTGGCAAATGGACCATACTAACATAAGACATTAATAACAGAGGATTGTGGATGTTGTATCTATGGGAGCACTTCATACTGTCCTCACGACTTCTCTGTAAAAGTGCTGAAACAAAAAGTATATTTAAAAAACTAAATCTTGGGAGCAAGGCACATTAATTTAGAATGTTTCTGTGTTTAATATCTCATTATTTTATTAGTATATTACTATACTTTTTATATTTTAGGTAGTAATAATATTATTGTTTTATACATTTTGAGATATTCTATCCACAACTGATAACCTGTGGTTATTGTTAACCCATTTCCCATTTGGGAAAAGAAAAAGCGTATCTCACTGCCAGAACTCATTTCTCAGGGCAAATGGGAAATGGGTTAAGGAATATGTGAGTATTGTGGGTTATATTAGGTTGGTTCAAAAGTAATTGTGGTTTTAGCCATTACTTTTGCACCAACCTAATAAAATGTCAGTGACTTCAGAACTAAAGAAGTCAATTTTTAAAAATATGTATTACAGTTCTCTACGGTACTGATAAAATTTGCTGCACGGATTTAAAATGCTGTCCCAGTGAGATTAGGGGAGCATCTGAGTGAGGAATAAAGGCGTCAAAACAGCCTTCCAGAGGTTGGGGAAACCACTGGGTGGGGAATTGCACTGGCTATTCATTCCCAACACAATGGATGAGGCATCTGGTGACCCTATGACCCTGTGGCTGTAAGAGTAAGCAGGGGTGGAAAACCCATGAATATTTCCTGACGTAAAACCCATTGAAAAGGGGGTGGGGGCTGGTGCCGACGTGTGCTAAAGATCATTGTCTTCCAACTGGCAGGCCTATAATTTGGACAAAACAAGGTCATTATATTGAGGTTGGTAGGGAGGAGGTATTTTTGGAGATATGATTGCAATTCTGCCCAAAAGCAATGACCACTTCCCCTTGGTTCCCGCCCTGAACACCCACTGATCCCTCCACCCCTTGTAGGCAACCATCCCCCAACCCTCATTCCCCAGTGTTGTGTGGGAGAAGCAGATGCGTCAACATCTCCAAAGTTCACGCTGCCGTGGATGGACTTTAGGCTTCGATGCTATGTTTTTTTGTTTTGTTTTTGTTTTTTTCCTTTTTCTAGTTGACCTTTTTCTGCTGATGACTTAGTTTCATCTTTTCTATCTCCTGCTTCACCAAAGCTCAGCATCACCTAGGCTCTCTTTGCGGACCTTTTTGGTTCCCTGCTATACAGTGATCAAGACACTTGCCCACTGCAGGGAAAACAAATTTAAGTATGTGTAGAATAACTGCACTAAGTGGACACTCTCTGTGGTAAAATGACCGGACCAAGATCCCTGAAAAAGGAAATGGTATAGCTGGGGTCTGAATTTCTGTTATGCGACACCAGAACTGGGACTCTCAGCCATGACTTTCCTCTTCTTGACACATAGCACTGTAATTAATATAGAATGCACTTCAATAAAGGACATCTTTGACAAAGCAAAGCATGCATTCTTCATGGGATGTTATTATATAATTAGGAAGAATAAAATATCCCCTTCAAATGGAAACTCAATTTCATTAAACAACCATTACCAAAGCCATAAAGATCATTGACCTGACAGCACTGGGGCTTATTGAGTTCTTTATCCAGAAAAAAGAGAGGAGTTATATGTGCACTTTCTCACCAGTGCTCATGACTGGTCGACCAATGACACACATTTCCCAGATAATTCCGGAGAGGAGCGCATGGTCAATGAATGAAGCAAATTAGCTGTCCTATTGTAGTATAGTCTGGCCTTGTTACTTTATAATATAGACCATTAACTCTACATTCCAACCACCTAAACTCTCTGTTCACCGCTCTTCTTTTAAACTGTATTGCAAAAAGGATTATAAAAAACCCTCTGAGTATAAGCATTCCTTTAAAGGAAAGTTAAAAGACTTGAGTATCCATTAAATCTTAAAGGTCATACATATAATTGCATCTAAGTTTAGGAAAACAAGTCTTCACATCAGGTCTTAGCATAAATAATGTAAATTAAGATACATTTGAATTTACTGGCTTCTTTGTTTTTAACGCTTTGCATTGTTAGGTCCATAAACATTCTGTGTCTAAAAGAAACACAAAATAATAATGATGGCCCCTCAGTGTCAGATGCATTAAACCAATATCATTACATTGTGACAACGACCTTACACATTTTGCCTACAAGGAGCTCAAGGCGCAGTAAGATTAAATAAATTGTTCAAGAATACCTAGTTAATAAGTGGGAAGGTGTACATTCATTTTATCACCTAAGCTGCATATACAGGGGATGACAAAGAACTGAGAGGTCGCACCATCGTCTGTATATCAGCGCCTTCAGTAAGAATTGGTGGAATATTCTGGTCTCTGTCAGCATTAGGATTCGGGAGTAATAGCTGCTCCATGATTAAGCAATGCTATCATCCTCTATTATGGGCTTTCCTGTGTATTAAACTAAGCAACTTGATGATTTGTTTCAAAATTTCTCACCTTAGCTCCAGATGACATTCAGAAGTATATAACTCTGAGTACTGACCCAGTATGTTAATGGTGGTTTTGGAAGTAGATTCTGAGCAGCATTGTCTAGTACAGTTTGTATTCCTTTCCAAGGGCAAGATAAGAATGTTAGGCGGTGGGCATGGGGGGATCTCTGAGTCAAAGAAGATTTTATGATGAGAGAGTTTTCTTTTGCTTATGGAAATGTTTACTTGGGGGCTACATTTACTACATGCCTTGCCTCATTTCCGTTAAGTCCAGCCAGATACCATGAATTTCACAGTAGTTCCTAATACTTCATACACAGTGATCTGTCGTCTGTAATTTTATTCCAGGACACCAACAAGCCCTGGCTATTGCAGACAGGTTGTGGTACCAGAAGCATTTATAAACCTCAAATCTGATTACAGGGCCCTGAAACATGGAAGTGTTTAATAAAGACGTGCTGATTAAACTGAGAATCAACTATGTACTTCAGTGTTCAGAGAAATATTCCAAAGAAAGAAACCAAAATATTACAGTGTGGGAAACCTAATAAAAACCCTGTCCCATGAGAAATTCCACATGTGCAGATAAAAAAAATTTCCTTTTCTATCAGCATCACCATTTTTTCAAGTGTCAAATGCTACATATATAATACCAAATTATTGTGAAAGTGGAACTTGAAAATAATAACATGGAAATAAACAGAATTTTAAAGAAGAAAATATCTTAAAATATATTTTAGATACTCATAAATGTTTATAAATATGATACCGTGAAGAAAAATGCGTTCTCTTTTATGGAAACAGCTCTCTCAACAGCATACCCTTTAAGTAGCACTTGGACAAGAAGGATCCAGGGACCACCCCCCGCCTCATAACAGATGTTTGGTCTTGTTCAGTGTTGTTTTTTTTGCACCGTCTCAGATGGAATGGTGTTCCTGTCACACCTAAAGCATCAACACAGGCTTCAGCTTTTATCATACTTGAGCCTCCTCCCTTGGGAATGCCAGGATTCTCTAAGAAAGACATCCTGCTCAAGATTAGAATCACCACACTCCTATGATTTCAAACAAGACAGAAGTGATAAATTACAGACTTTTTTTTTTGCCATTGCCAACATGGTAAAGCCTTAGCCAATTAAGATCCATAAAGGGCAGTTCCGAAATCTACCTCATGGCAACGCACACACCACAATGCAACGCATCTGAGGCCCATCACTATGAAGCTACAAAATATTAAATACTTTTGGAAAATATACAACAAAGGAAAACTAATACATTCTAAACACTTGCTGGTTTTTTCAAATAAAGCTTCTTCTATCTACTATCTATGAATTTGTTGATCAAATAGTTGATACTGTGACAAATACTTTATTCAATACTTTATGAAGTCCTACCCCTGTATCAGTGCTGTAAGCAATGCTACTTAGAAAAGGCATACATTTCTGGAAGAAAAATAAAATAGAAGATTTTTTTTTGTTATTCAACAACCTGCTATTTCATATTCCCTCCAACATTAAGTAGCAACAGACACGAGTGGGCCTTTCCCAGGGCCAAGGCACGTGCACACACTCTATGGAGCAATGTTGTGCCACTTCACATCAGCAATTCCTACCGGTCGGGCTTCCCGACTTCACTAATCAGTCCTACAGAACATCAAAATTATGCTACCTAATTTGAGTAGAGAAAGAGGCTACTGTTTGATCTTAACAAATACAACTGCTCTAATTTCTGGTGACTATCAACAGAGTGGCTGGATGGCTTCCAGATCAAGGTAATCATCTTCACATCAGGAAATTTCCTCTGTCACCCAGGATGGAGTGCAATGGCGCAATCTCGATCTCGGCTCAATGCAACCTCCGTCCCCCTGGTTCAAGGGATTCTCCTGCCTCAGCCTCCCGAAGAGCTGTGATTACAGGTGCCTTCCAGCACACCCAGCTAATTTTTGTATTTTTAGAAGAGACGGTGTTTCACCATGTTGGCCAGGCTGGTCTTGAACTCCTGACCTCAGGTGATCCTCCCCGTCTCGGCGTCTTAAAGTGATGTGATTACAGGCATGAGCCACTGCACCCGGCCACATTAAAAAAGTTCTTAAATAGGTGTTTGATGTTTATTCATCAGGCTTTCAAAATACTATCTGTTCATGTTAAACAATGATGTAGTCTGACAGGCAGTCACCTAAAACGGGCCCTTCACTGCCACAAATAACCGACGTGGCCCCAGCCTTAACATTTGTTCTGAAGGGCAAATGCATGCACTTGCTACAGCACTGATTTCACTTAGTACATGTTTCTTTTCTTAGTTTTATTTTTAAATTCATATTTAAAATAGATATTTGGAGCTTAGTACTACCGTATTAGTAGTCTTAAGAATATTAATCTCCTTTCATTTTTTTGGACTGCACATTACTACAGTGTATTGTTTTTAAGGAGTAAGAATGTTATTAATTGCTGATTTAATGTATTTATGAATCAGTAACAGATGCAAAGACAATTGGCATCATCCTGTAGGCATTATCCAAAGCACATGCTAAAAATAGTAATATAGTATTTTTATAGAGAAAATTCAACCCATACGTTGAAAATTATAAAAATCTAAAGAGGAATTCATGTCGATTGTAATGGTTGTTTGTATTTGTAGAGTGTTAATGTCTCATAGCTTAAAAATTATTTTGTGTTTCTGGGAAACTGTTAAAATCTGGATATTTAAAAATATATGCTTAAAAATTAATGCCAGAATTTTCTCAGAACCAGTTCTCCAGGAATTCCAGAGTTTCTCACCCCTCAACATTCAGATACCCAACCCAGAGCATCAGCATCTTTCCTTTAAGTTCATTTCCTCTGTTTCATTTTAACTTTCCCTTTTTTTATCACTACGATTTCTCCAGTCTGTGCCATCCTGTCTTCTCTGTGATACCTTCTTGTGTTTGCTCTTCTCTCGCTGTACCCAGAATCTTGACTTTTACCCGGGAATTTCAAACCTTCCGTCCCTGGTTATGACTTCCATCCCACTCAAACAATACACACTATCAGACATTCTCCTACCTTCCATCCCTGGTTATGACTTCCATCCAACTCAAGCAATACACACTATCAGACATTCTCCTACCTTCCATCCCCGGTTATGACTTCCATCCCACTCAAACAAAACACACTATCAGACATTCTCCTACCTTCCGTCCTCGGTTATGACTTCCATCCCACTCAAACAATATACACTATCAGACATTCTCCTAAGTTCCATCCCCGGTTATGACTTCCATCCCACTCAAACAATACACACTATCAGACATTCTCCTCTCTTTACATGTCCATCAAAACCACCTTATCTCCCAGTCTCCAATAGAGAATCTCAATCCCATTGCTTGTCTAACTCTAAAGAGGAACTTAAAGCAAGCCTAAAATAAGTAAGACCTATAAGAGAGAAAGGCCTGTTACGGCAGGGCATGCAGTTTATATTTAATCAGAGAGACCCTGGCAAGCCATGGGAGTTATCTCAGCCTTTCAGGAAGATTACCTGATGAGCCCTTGCAGAATGTATTGCAGACAAGGATCCAGATGGTAAGGGATAGCTGGCAGAGAAGTGCTAATGATGACTTTAATTAGGGGTAGAAACAGTTGGTTTCAGTTGAAGAGATACAATAAAAAAATATTCTGGGCTCTTGGGATTAATGTAAAGCGGAAATAAGACCACAGCAGCAAATGTTGAATCCCTCGTGGATGACTGAAAAAGGTATAGTATCATGAATAGTTAAAAGGAAACTTCGAGGCAGATAATACTATTGATAGAAAAATCATGAAGTGTAATATGTTACGATTATCTATTGTATGAATGAAAGGACAGTAATCGGCTTCATTTGAAAGGGACTGAGTTTGAGATACATGGGGGATATCCAGATTAAAAAACATAAAACGGATGCACAGAATTTCAAAAGCCAATTAATAGAGTTAGGATAAATGGAAAGTTTCTGTAAAACGGAATGAAGGAAATTTCTTAATTTGGAAAATGAGTTAACACAATGCCATCTTGTGGCTAGGAGGTATCTGAGTGTCACTCACTTTGTCTAAACAAATGTAAATATTTTATGCTTCAATTATCATTTTCTTAAGCTATAGGAGCAGACTTTTTAAATTAAGTCACTCTACTTTTAGATAGTAATTCCTGAAACAATTTACCGTAAGTGACAAATGAGCCTACACTCAGAAGTGCAAATTTCTTCTTATGTGTTAAATAATCATGGAAAATATTTTAAAAGAATTAAGTAATGACTCAAAGCATTATGTCAAGATATGCTTGGTCTCCATAATCAGGAAGTTGAGTGTACTTTCATATCATACTTGCATAATTGTTCATAAATACTATTTCTGTGGGAGCTTATCTTTTACAACACGCAGAAGAGATGCATAAATCCAAACTGGCAAAAAAAAAAAAAAAAAAAAAAGAGTTGAATGTTTGGAAGTATTTTTAAGAATTTAATATGAAACCATTTACAATAATTAAAAATGAAAAACTACATCAATTAAGGGCTTTTACAAAGAGACAGCCTTGAGGCAATAGTACTTTATTTTAGCTAAAATAGACATATTTCTACAACATATTCAAAAATCCTATCTGAAGGCTTATGAGAATTAACAAGACGGATTTTGAATATGCACTTCAAACCGTGTAGGTTTCTTTTCATAGCCACAAATGACAGCTGTCAACAAATATTCTTTAATGTCCTTATTCCAAATCGTATCTGCCAAGATTATATAAAGAAAAAAATATGACTATCGAGTAACAACAAAGGATTTCATGTCTGGTAATTTAAAATTTTACTCTCAGAAGACACAATCATGTTAAACACATAATTGAATCCATTTACACCAAGCATCTATTTTACCACATTCCTGATGAATGAATGTCCACCTCATTTGGACTAATGTCAGAAGTAAACCAGGACTAAAGATACAGCTGTCTCTGCCCAGCTAAATGTAATTATTTAAAAACTTACTTCTACCAACAGTCCCACTAATGGGCATCTACCCAGAGGAAAAGAAGTCATTATACGAAAAAGATATTTGCACATGCGTGTTTACAGTGGAATTCACAATTGCAAAATCATGGAATGAACCCAAATATCCATCAAACAAGTGGATAAAGAAACTGTGATACACACACACACACACAGACACACACACACACACACACACACGAACACATGATGGACTGCTACTCAGCCATAAAAATGCATGAATTAATGGCATTTGCAGAGACCTGGATGACATTGGAGACTATTTTTCTAAGTGAAGTAACTCAGGAATGAAAAACAAACATCATATGTTCTCACTGATATGTGGGAGGTAAGTTGTGAGCATACAAAGGGCATAAGAAGGATACAGTGGATTTTGGGGACTGAGGGGGAAGGGTGGGGGGGTGATGGATAAAAGACTGCAAATAGGGTACAGTGTATACTGCTCAGGTGGTGGGTGCACCAAAATCTTGCAAATCACCATTAAAAAACTTACCTATGTAACCAAATACCACTTGAACTCCAATAGCTCATGGAAAAAACAAAAAATAAAATGTACTTGTTTATACTTGGCAGAAAAAAGTAAAAATAAAATAAAACCTGTCTTTCTGTGTATTCAGTCCTTGATCCTCCCAGTACCTCTGGACCCAGCACTGAATAATCCTGCCTTCCCTTTGATTTAAAAACCATTTAAAACTTTGAAATCAGCTGAAACGTCTCCTCTTCATCTTCTCTCATCCAGCTATTTGTTCAAAGTTACTAATGCTTTGAAAACCTGTTGCCATCTCTACGTCTCTTACCTCACACACTTGTAACATAACATGTTCTTTGTAATTGTTCAGGTGTGACCTAACCAGCATTAAGTAAGCATGCAGTTAGTCTGGTCTTATTTTACATTTGCTTTTCTCTTACTCTACATTATAGGAATGTTTCCAGTGAAAGTCTGTACAGAATGATAAATATTAAGTGTATCTGTTCTAAAGCTTTTCATTAATTTAAAACACAAAATAACATCAACTGGCCTGTTACTTTTTCTGGAGGGAGTGGGCTACTTCTAGCAATACTTTCTCTCCTCTTTGGGTCATATATTAAGCATAAATGAAGAATACAGAACCAGGAGAATTAGAAAATGCGATCATATAACTATGTAATCCTTGTCATCCTTCTCTTGGTGAGTGTAAAGAGCTGATATGTGGAGGGAGTACTTGGAAATTACTATTAATGAGGTCCCCAGAATTAGACCATAGAAACATACGAAAATCTCACATAAACAAAACAAAGAAACAAACAAACATAATTTGGTTAGTGCTTTTTTTTCTCAGAAATGTAAAAGAAAAATACAAAGGATAATATATCAGTCATATACTCAGCAGAAGACACTAAAATGTTAATTTATCAAAAGAACAAGAGATGTTTAAGAAATAAAACATTTCAAGTGAAGTCAAACTTCTCTACAAATCCCTCCACAAATCGTAGTATCCACTTCCCTCCCTAAACTCCACCTTTATTTTTAATTTGGGGTAAACACATTCTAAGATTTTTTTATTTTCCTGTATATTTTAAAATTGGCATGAGTAGTTACACAAATATATTGTTTGCTTCTTTATTTTTGAAACCTATTAAAAATGTAAAGCCTTACAACTACTTTATTTAAAGTACTCTAAAGCATAATGTCTACATGAATATTACAAACTTTATATATCTCCCGCCCTACTAACAAACATGTGGGTTGTTTCCAGTTTTCCACTGTTATAATTCTAGGATGAATAGCTCTGTGTATGTCCTATGATATGCATGCATGATGTACTTGCTCATCATTTAGGAATATTTTTTAACTTTCCTAGATATTACCAATTTGCTTTTCACAAATTGCTATACTAATTTACATTTTCTAGAGCAATTTGAGAATTACCACTTCTATGCATTCTCCTAAACATTTGGTATTCCATAATTTTTAATGCTCAGCAATTGGACTTTAATTCATTGTCATCCCATTGTGTTTTAATTTGCATTTCCTGAGTCTGGCTGGTATAAACATGTTTTTGACCAGTCAGGTTTCCTCTTTTGTGCCTTCTTCTTGGGGAAAAAGAAAAACCAACTACTTTTTTAAAACTGTCACGAGGAGCAATCAAGTTATCTCTTATTGAAGTTAATTGGGAAAAGAAGGAAAAGAGAAATAACCATAATAATACCACATTCCAAGCCTGGGAGATCTAAAATGTTGTCAATGTAACAGGAGAAATAAAACATCGTATAGAGATATGATAAATGACATATTGGATGTGTTTTATCACCAACATAGTTAAGAAAACTGTTACCCACAGAAGCGTCCATTTTTATTTATTTATTTATTTATTTATTTATTTTTTGAGATGGAGTCTTGCTCTGTTGCCCAGGCTGGAGTGCAGTGGTGCGATCTCAGCTCCCTGCAAGCTCCGCCTCCCGGACTCACGCCATTCTCCTGCCTCAGCCTCCCAAGGAGCTGGGACGACAGGCACCCCCCACCACGCCCGGCTAATTTTTTGTATTTTCAGTAGAGACGGGGTTTCACCATGTTAGCCAGGATGGTCTCGATCTTCTGACCTCGTCAGGATGGTCTCAATCTTCTGACCTCGTGATCCACCTGCCTCAGCCTCCCAAAGTGCTGGGATTACAGACATGAGCCACCATGCCCGGCCAAAAGTATCCAATTTTAAGGTGTACCTCACATGTTTCATATGTTGTCCTTAGTCCCCCAAAATGTAGAAAGGTAGTTATCAGTAGAAAACCACTGCTAATCCAAAGACACACAAATACTTAAAACAGATTCTGTAACTTTCTACCATATGTGTGTTTGTACTTCAGGAATTCATTTTATCCTAAGAATCATCTGGGATCCTGTTTAAACCCCAGAGCACTAGGGTCGTTGTCTAGATCCTGGAATGAGGACATAAACTGAAGGCAGCCACAAATCTGTGTTTCTCTAGGGACCCAGATAATGCCTGTGCTCAGGCAAGTATGGCAAGAACTATTCTTCATCAAGCTGTTTCCTGAAAAGTTGCATTTCATGCAGTAAGAAGCACTGTGTGCAAAGACAGCCACCATAACTCCCCCACTCACTGCTTTCACTCATCTTTGCCATTAACTCTACCCTTTCTTCTCTTAAGACATGGTGTGTTTCCTTCTCATCCCTTGACTGAGCTGAGCTATGGACTTGCTTTTCCACTACAATGCAGAAAAAGTGATGTAAGACTTTGAAGACTAGGCTTTCAGAGCCTTAGTGATTGAGAGAAGGAACATAAACAGCTAATTATCAGAGTACATATGAACATAGAACTCTGACCCACACCCTCTGCTGTGACCAGTGCAGGAGACCAAGCCACAACCACTGCATCAACCAGCTCAGAGTAGGTAAGACTTGGCCAGTGACTTTCAGCTACCCTATTTTTGCCCCCGCTTTTGACTCCAGACCAAGCAGAGGAAGTGAAATACACTGCTGGGTTGACTGGTGAGAAGTGGGAAGACGGCTTACTTCCACTTAGCTCTTCGCCACCACCAGCTTCCCCATGTGAAAAACCTCCAAGTGCAATGTGCCTGAAGCCTTCCCCTCTTCCACCATAGGGCTTTCCCTCTCCCCTGAGTTTGAGCGGCTGCTAAGCTCAAATCATGGCAGCTGCCTTGCTTGTTCTGGCAAACCTGAGTCAATAGCCTCTGTTCTCATCTGGGTATGTCCACCAGCTTCTGCCGAGAGCTTCTTTTCAGATGTCTTAGAACCCTGAGGCTCCCATGAAGAATACTGAGATAGTCTCCTTGAGCAGAAAGCACATTAAAAGAGAGACCTAGTCAACACCAAGCATCAATCCTAAACTTGTGAGTGGGTAAGTGAGTCCCAGGGTTTTGGGGGCAATGCGACCCTGTGGGACACCATGGGTCTGCAGCTGCATGAGTGTCCAAGGAAAGACCAGCAGAATCTGTACAGCTGAGTCAAGTCCAGATTGCTGACCACTGAAACTGTCATGGGCATTTTTGTTTCAACGTGCTAAGTCTTGAGGTTGCTTTTTACACAGCAGATCGTTCTAACATTTTTCAATTTACTTGTGAGGATATAAACTGAAGAGTTATTTGCATGTAGCTGATAATATATCCTGGAATAAAACACAAGCGGCAGGTTTTACCATGGGGACCACGGATATGTAGGGAAGGTCACATGAGGAGGAGCAGTAAAGAGAAAATAGAGATTAAAATCAGAGACACAAAATTATTCAAATCCCTCCCAAAAATATGAAGCCAAAGAACGTAAACTTTTAAAAGAATTATCAGTCCATTGGCATCAAACACTCCTGAGCCAAAGAAAAGGTAAAGAATCACGGTTTGTGTGTGGAGATGGGAGTGTCATTGGTCACTAGGAAACTTAAATATAAAAACTTGTGTAAATGGCTTTCATCTGAATTTGCTATGAATTGAATAGGATATGAGAAAAGAGCAGGGGTTTTTTGGGGGGGAGGGTTATTATTATTATTATTATTTTTTTTTGAGATGGACTGTGGGCTGGGCACAGTGGCTGACACCTGTAATACCAGCACTTTGGGAGGCTGAGGCGGGCGGATCACGAGGTCAAGAGATTGAGAACATCCTGGCCAACATGGTGAAACCCCATCTCTAGTAAAAATACAAATATTAGCCGGGTGTGGTGGCAGGCACCTGTAATCCCAGCTACCCAGGGAGGCTAAGGCAGGAGAATTGCTTGAACCCAGGAGACGGAGCTTGCAGTGAGCGGAGATCCTGCCACTGCACTCCAGACTGGGCAACACGGTGGGACACTGTGTCAAAAATAAAAAACAAACAAAAAAGAGAGATGGAGTGTCACTCTGTCATCCAGGCTGGAGTGCAGTGACATGACCTAGGCTCACTGTACCCTCCGCCTCCGGGGTTCAAGCGATTCTCGTGCCTCAATCTCCCGAGTAGCTGGGATTACAGGCGTGTGCCACCACGCCCGACTAATTTTTGTATTTTTAGTAGAGACGAAGTTTCACCATGTTGCCCAGGATGGTCTCAAACTCCTCAGCTAAATTGATCTACCCACATCAGCCTCCCAAAGTGCTGGGATTACAGGCGTGAGCCACCCCACCTGGCCTACAAAGCAGTTTTTAATTAGGTGCTTTAGAAATAAAAGGAATATCACAAAGTTGAGGCAGCAGAAAAATCATTTTCTAAATTGCCAAGGCCAAGAAACTGAAGGAGAAATTCAGTTATGGTTGTGAAATCATTTAATAGGGAAAATACATAGAACCCAAAATGCAGTTTTATGAATATCACATGCATGATTATGTTGAGATGGCAGCAGCCACTATGTAGATTTAAACATATCTCATACATCCTAGGCCCAGTTTCACTTGGCAACAGCTAGATAAGCATGCAGCAAGAGAAAGGCCTTCTGACTCTCGTTTCCAATTAATGAGTTTGGTAAAGTGTCATTGATTAAATTATCAATGTTGAAAAGACGTGAGCACTAGCCCAGTCACCTTCACACTCCTATACTATAATTAACCAAGAACCTGGAACTCCAGGAGCAGACCTTGAAAATCTCTGATCCATTTGCCTTCAGACATTCATTGCCTTAAAAACAGAAAAAGCTGCAATCCTTAACTGATCATCTTTATATGCCATATTTTCCTATGTTTCTGTATCTTTTCCAAAGTTCTAGGAATGTACACACATGGAGCACACGGAACAACCATGAGACATATGAAATATACCTTTCCATCTTAAATCCGTTAGCTAGATTGTAAGATATTGCCTGTGTTTCAGGTATTAACGCAGAATATGCCATTTGCCAATTTGCTACGTAATAGAGCAACACATATATAGCATGGCTGCCTTCAAAGAACACCTCAGTGAAGGGCTAATACTTCTCAGTTACTCATATCTGAAACAAACTCCTCAATCCTCTCAGAGCACTAACGATTAATTTTCCAGATTATCTTCTAAGTATTATTATTGAGAGCTTATTCATTTGAACTATCATCCAACATACATCTGTGTGTTGTATACTTCTGAGACAAGTGCCTAGGTCTTAGAAAAACAGTAATTATTTTATTCTTTCATAAGAAAACAAATATAAAAATTGACATATATAATGAAGTTGAGTAAAAATGTTTACCCTCCTATGTTTCAATAATTTAATGGAGAATGTAGTTATTCTCTTGGGTTCTAAATGTCCTGTTTCCATCATGAGCTCCACTAGAAATGGTTTTCTTAGAACACAATCAATATTTCGTCCTATTCAATATGCGATTTTTAGTACTGAGTCTTTGAAGAAAACTGCTCAGGTTCTCTCCCTTCTGAAATACCTCTGGGTGTGAATGAGTGAGATGAGGCGCTCATTCAGCCTAAACTCATTGCTTTGGAGCAAATGGACTTTGGTTCAACCCATGTCTGTGGATGCCCCCAGTAGCTGCAGGAAGGTGAGATGTTGTCATTAGGGCTGGGAACTCCTGTGATAGTAGTAGAATTTCTCCTTTCTTTCCCTATTCCCTTGGGCGTCTTGCTGGCCCTGACTGGCTTATCTGTTGCCCAGATCAAAGAGTGACATTTTCTCTTTTCCTGATCTTAATCAGATCCATCTGCACCTTCCTGTTGATGCAGCCTCACCTTAGTTTTCAGCTGACTTTAAATTTCTGGATTTTTTCATGGTCCTTTGTGCTTCTCTGGGCTAGAGAGTCCGATACAACCTTGTCTACACGTCTGTTTTCACCACAGTGTTCCTCTACAGCAGGTGCACTGAATCTCAACTCACAGCTCAAGAAGTTAAGAAAGGGAAGAGTTAATTCACAGTTAAGAAAGGGAAGAGGCACAGCAGAGGAGGTAGACCCTTTCCCTCTGCGTGGCATATCCCATATCCCTTTCCCGTGCTGGACAGCTCCAGGGTGTCCTGGCACCTCCTGCACCCACATGAACCTCCGCTGGGAGACCCAGAGAGTGGAGCTGAAGCCCTTTGTCCCTGCTGTCCTCTGACACTCCCTTAGAACAACCCCTCCTCTTTTAGCCAGAGATGAGAGAACATCAGACATCTGGCTGGTTTTCTCCTCCCAACTGTTTATCTTCTTTTATCTTCTCTCTTACTCCAGAACTACCACAAAGAAGGGCTTTTGCTAATTCTTCATAACTTCAGCCCCTTCGCTATTCTTAGTATCTGAGAGCATTGTTTGCATTAAGACTAGGGGAGTAGTCCCAATATCTGGTCCAGCTAGCCAGGCTCCAGAAGCGCTAAAGAATCATAAAAAAAACAAGAAAAGCAGTCTCTCATCAAGAATAGCAGCAAGATTACTGTTTCGATGAAGAATACAAATCTCCACCCCTCACTCCCTACACCAGTTCCCCACCTACTGTTTTTTTTTTGCCTGTCGTGGAGCTATAACTATCTGAAAGAAAGGCCAAGAGGAGGATAGATTTCAGGATAAAATTATTAATATTGCCCCCATTATACTAATACTTCTATCTAAATGTTTTGATAAGACTCTGTTCCAAAAGCTAGGGAGACATAAACACAAACATGTATGATGAAGAGTCTTTGTAAAATTAGCAGCTACAAATGTTTCTGCTGTGTAAGCATTTGTAAAAAAAAATGCTAAGTGGAAGAAGAGAATACAATTCAATTATGCATGTGAACCCTCAAAGTAGATACACATTAACTTAGAAAATGATAGCATGAAAACCATTACAGTCTTTAATTCGGTAGTGTATCTAGAAACACATATAAGTGTAATTGTAAGTCTGACAGTTTTTGTAACCGTTGAAATATTCCCCATTTATGCCATTAACTTTAGATAAATATATTCTGTTACTTTTAAAAATGGAATGTTTTATAATCATTTTGTTCTAATTCTATAGAAGGAGTAGCTAGCTATAATGTTGGCATGCATCACCCATTTCTGTCTTATACCATCTCCATTTGTGTTTAGTATTTTTAAGTTTTACTACTGTAATGGGAATGTATGCTAAATATAGAAGTAATTATTTGCAAAGCAAGAATAACATTTCCAGTTGGGCACAATGACTCACGCCAATCCCAGCACTTTGGGAGACCAAGGTAGGCAGATCGCTTGAGCCCAGGTGTTTGAGACCAGCTTGGGGAATACAGTGAGACATCATCTCTTAAAAGTAAAAAAAAAAAAAAATAGCCAGGCATGGTAGCATGCACCTGTACTCCCAGCTACTCAGGAAGCTGAGGCAGGAGGATTGCTTGAGCCTGGGAGGCAGAGGTTTCAGTGAACCAAGACTGCACCACTGAACTCTAGCCTGGTGGGCTACAGAGTGACAGCCAGTCTCACTCTGCAATGGGAATTGCACTGGATTTATCGATTGCCAAAAGCATACGAAGAAGATACTTGCACAGTTAAGTTTATAGCAGCAAAATTCGCAACTGCAACCAGCCTAAATGCCCATCAAGCAATGAGTGCATAAGGAAAATGTGATACACACACACACACACACACACACATAAATATCTATATATCTCCCCATACACACACACACCCAATGGAATACCGATCAGCCATAAAATGGAATGAAATCATGGCATTTGCAGCAACCTGGATGGAAATGGAGACAATTACTCTAAGTGAAGTACCTCAGGAATAGAAAACCAAACATCGTATGTTCTCACTTATAAGAAGTGGGAGCTAAGCTATGAGCATGAAAAGGCATAAGAATGATACAACAACTTTCAGGACTAGGGGGAAAGGGTGGGAGGCAGATGGGAAACAAAAGACTACACCTTGGGTACAAGGTACACTGCCTGGGTGATGAGTGCACCAAAGTCTCAGAAATCACTAAAGGACCTATTCATGTAACCAAACACCATCTGTTCCCTAAAAATCTAATGAAATTAAAAAAAAAATAAAGAAAAATTATTACCCTTCTCAAATTATGCACACTTCCCCATCTCTCTTTTCCCTAAGAAGAGTATATAACCATCTGCACGCCATCACATGGTCGAGCAATCACTCTCATTTCTACGTCCATGCATGATGATCAACATGTATGTGTTTGATCCTATTTTAAAAAAAACAAGAACAGCTCCCTTCTGTTTATTTAGCGTGTGAGCATGCGTTTTTTCATAAAAACTGAGCATTAGTTACCTAAGCAGAACATTGTTTTCTAATTTTAAATGTATAAGCATATTCAACTGAAGATTATCTTTCCATGAAAGAGGAAGTCGAAAAAGATATAATCTTAAGTGGAAAAGAGAAGTTACTTCATTCAAAATAAGAAATCATTAGGAACATGGAAATGAAGAAAGCTTCGGGAGATACGTGATCTGTTGCAGGGTTTTCATGAAACTTCTGTGTGCCCATGAGCAATGTCAACAAGCCTGAGACTCTTTTTTTTTTTTTTTTTTTTTTTTTTTTTGAGACGGAATCTTGCTCTTTTGCCCAGGCCACAGTGCAGCACCTGAGATTCACTTTTATTTGCTAATGAAACAGACAATATGCATCACTTGTTCTAAGATTCTGCTTTAAATTGCGGCAGTAAGATGAAGAAATAGATATTAATAAGATTTCAAATTAACTAGATTTGAATCTCAAAATACAAATATGTTTGAATAACAAAGACATGAAGGGAAAAACCTTAATACTGACATGTATCTCAATATTACATGCTAATTATACAATATTTATAATCGGAAAATAATGTAATGTCAGGATACATCTTTCTAATTAAAACAATTTTCTTCCAATGTTCTAATGGCTCCAATTGTCACAATTTTAAGCTTGTTCTTTAAAACATTCTAGAGTAGGAAAAAATGGGTTGTCATACACCTGCTACTGAAAAGACTTAGATGATTTTTAAATACCTTTGTCTAGGTCATACATACTGGTATCAATTTCTAACTTGGTATCTCTCTAGAAATATCAAATAGCTAGTATTACTTTATCAGTCAAGGAAGAGATATGCCATCTTTTATGTTGCTAATGCCACATCTGGCAAAGTGTTTAGAGCAGGTGGTTCTACAATGACAAGTTTCCTGACAACAGAACTCCAAGTAGCTGAGAATGTAGAAGGATGATCTGTAGTATGTGGTGGGCCTCACTCCAAGGAGGCTGTTGTAATATTGTGGTGTGGTTATTTCTACTTCGGGGTGGACAATCGTCTCTACTCTTAGTATGAGTTTTAAATATTCGTTAGGACTGATAGCTTTAAAAGTTTTTAATTATCCTCTTTTTAAATTGTCTTGCTGCAACTTCTTTTTTTTTTTTTTTTTTTTGTGAGATAGAGTCTCACTCTGTCACCCCAGGCTGGAGCGCAGTGGTGCGATCTCGGCTCACTGCAACCTCCTCTCCTGGGTTCACGCCATTCTCCTAGCCTCAGCCTCCCGAGTAGGTGGGACTACAGGCGCCCGCCACCATGCCCGGCCAAATTTTTTTGTATTTTTAGTAGAGACGGGGTTTCACCGTGTTAGCCAGGATTGTCTCGATCTCCTGACCTCCTGATCTGCCCCTCTTGGCCTCCCAAAGTGCTGGGATTACAGGCATGAGCCATCACACCCGGCCACTCTGCAACATTTAGCTACAGCTTTCAAACAAATGCTAACAGATTTATCAATTAGTTTCTCATTTATCAAAATTATTGATCAGCACTGTTCTTTCACCTATGAATGACCCTATCTTGTGTGGTATTTTCTTTTCAAGGTCTTTTTATGTCTAATTGAAACTTTTAAACCATAAAATAACTGACATTCTCAATAAAAAATAAAAGTCTCTAATTCACAAATCCATTTAAGATGCTCCAGAATATATTCTTGAGAATGTTTTTTAAAAGCTTCTTCCAGGAAACAGTCAAAATTATTTACTGAGCACCTAATATGTACACAGCTTTGTAAATAAGTATGAGACAAGTGTTCTGTAAGAATCTCAGTCGTAACATTCACTAGCTGGTGACTTTTAGCCATGTAAATGCTTAGAGCTTTAAGAGTTTTGTGTTTAAAATGGGAATAATGATAAAACTTTGTGTGATCAGCATACAGATTAATAAATAAAGATGATCCTAGCCTGGAATTTACTATGTGTTTAAATATATGACAAACCGTATTTCCCCTTGTGTGTAATTCCTCCCCACAAAAACAGCAACAAAGGACCATCATTAGTAATGAGGGAGCTTCAATTCTACATGTGAAAACAATTTAAACAATACACCATATAGTGAAGTACTAAATTACAGAATAAAATAATTAGAATAGAGTTTCAAACATAGGCAAGGGCTAAAGAGGTTAACGTCATATGTGAGAAATTGATGAGCCTTTCAAAGAATGGGTATGATTTTACTGGCTTTTCCTCATGTTCACGCTTAAGTTCAATGTCCTTAGCTTAACATTCAAGAAACTTTCCTCTCTGAATCCTGGCCACCTAACTGGCATAATCCCCCTTTTTTGTCTTTATACCACCCCTGGATCTTGCCATATTTGTAGTTGTAACACCATCCTAGATGTCAACAATGTGAATTTCAATCAGCACATATTGTAGTCTGCAGCTGAATTTATTAGTACAGAAACTCCTTTTGAAAAAAGCAGTTTTACCTTGAATCTAATGAAGACTTTTGTTTTATACATCAGGCTCCTGAATTTTCCTCATGTGAGTCTATTTCTAAAAGATGCATCTGCTTTTAGGAAGCTATTAAAATAAGTTTTCTAAGCCATTAAGGTGAGAGAAAGATCCCAGATTAAAAGTGTACCAAAGTAGTAAATATCATCATTTTAAGCTCTCATGAGAAGTAAAAGGTTGGCTTTTTTCTCCAGACCTCATCTAGGGCTCTCTGGACCAATGTATTAGCACCAGGTTGATAAGCCTTTCTTTCCAAGTGAATTCCCACACCATCTAGTGGAGGTAGACAGACACACACATAATTAACTTATGGACAGTATCAGCATGCCAAAAGAGAGATCTAAATACGAGTACATTAAAATAGTGTATACTCTCTGCTCTATAGTAATTTGTATTTGGGAAAATATAGCTGTGGTTAGGGAAGTAATTACTGATTAAATACAAGCCATAGAGAAAGCAGCTTGAAGCAAGCTTGGAAGTTGCAAACTTATGGACATGGAAGAAGTTCTGGCTCTCTGGTTTAATGAATTAAAATAAGTAAGATACTAGCAAATGGGATTTCGCAGTTCCTGGTCCCATAGGAAACTGTTTTGTGTGTGTTATAAATTGTCAAAGCTTCCAAATGCTTTTCATTTATATATCCATCCTGTGTTTGCCGTTCCAGGAGCATATGTTTGTACATGTGCACATGCATGTATGCAGACATCGAGATTCATTCATTTGCTCCACGCAAATTCTTGTGTTCAGCAACATCACGAGTTCTAAAAAAGTCAATAAAAATTGCCCTCTATGCCTTTCGTGCAAGGCACAGGGCCAGCCACATCAGCCATTACTTTCATTAGAGCTGCTGGAGTTTGAAATAGGATGGCTGGGATCCAGACTGACCTGCAATCTTGAAGTCTTTAAATTTAATACAACCCATATTTTAGGCCGTTCAGGCTAATTTGCCTTTTTTTTCAGATTTTTTAATGGACACTTTGTTTCTAAGAGTTTCTCTCTAATAGAGTGCATACAGATCAGTTTTTTTTTTTTTTTCCTTTTTAAAAAACTATTGATGAGCTCATGCTTTTAAAGGATTATTAGGGCATTTGAAGAACATTTTTTATTTAATAGCAGAAAAATTGAACTCAACATGGATTTACCAGGTGCCAATCTTTTGTATATTGCAATGACTCAGTACAATACCAACTTCACAACTTTATTTTAGATAATATTATGTCTTATATTCCCTAAGTATTTTAACAGGTGTTTCTTAACATGAAACTGAGTCCATTTAAAATCTGAAAGTTAATATACGCTGAGCATGCAATATGATATACTTGATTTTAAGAAAATGAGTTTTTACAAAGAAAATTGAAGATAACCTTCTTCAGCTCCACATAAAGCTTCTGTTTGAAGCTGGGAGTCGAGGATTCATCAAAACAGGGGTTCCATCCAAATTAAGAGAAAAACTCTTCAAACGGTTTCTGAAATAACTTAATGAATTTCAGCATTGTATGCTTATTTAAAATATTAGATATATGTCTTGAAACCTGTAATCAAGTCAAAGTGCTTTTATAATATTTCTACAGGAATAAAATTAAGTGTGCTCCAATCAAACCCACACGTATTGTTATTACATTTTATTCACCAAAGAGGTGTATCAGATGTTAGTTGTTTATGACCACAACTATTTTATATTATTTGGACATGTTTTAAAAACATAGGTAATTTCAAGCTTCCAGTGGCCCAAGCAGCACCATCCCCTCACCCAGAGAGGAGAACCTCCCAGGTCAGCTTCTACCCTCCCAGCAGTAGCTCCCCTGTCTGATGTTTGCTTTGAGCCTGTCTAGACCAATCCATCATGTCCTCCATCCCTGTCACCTCGGTCACCACAAGAATCCCGGATTCTGTGTCGTACCCGACCCTCCATCTCATTTTATTCTCATCCCAAATACCGGAAAAACTCACCTCCCATCTAATCCTCCTTCTTTGAGAATTCCCTTAACATTCCACCTGAAGCTGGCGTCCCCTCTCTTGAACATAGTCCCCGCAGCCCTGTCCAGCAGTGCTTCCTCTCTCACTCACCCCTCCGTTCCCTGGGATTGGCTGCTCATCATCATTTCCTGACTTTCCCCCCAAATTCCCAGCTTTGACTCTTCTGTCTTCAGGTTACTCACATGTAGATCCTCTTATTGAAGCCATCCATCCCACCCTGCTCTCCCGTGCATTTGATACACTGGCTCCTTGAAAATTTCAGCACCGGACTCCCTGCCACATTCCTGCTGCTACCACTGTTATAATTCGTGGTGACTTCACTATCCTGCTAAATGGTCCTTCTAACCCCATGGCTTCCTTTGTTCTCAACCTCCTCCCCTTCCGATGAACTTGTCTTCCATTCTCTTTCATTAATTAGTCATATGGTCAGAGACCAGCCCTAATACCAACCACATCTACTTCTCCAAAATTGCGACTTTCTGACATCCCATGCTCTTATCTCTGTTTTGGGGGCTCATTCCCTCCAGGAACATCATAAACTGCAAATCCAATTATCATTCCCCACGGTCTTTGCCCCTTCTCTCCTCTTTCCCTCCTTCAAATCTATACTTCATCATCACACTCCTTCCCCTGACTGCACCCTCAATTCCCTTGTTCCTCTCTGGCTCTGACCTCTCCGCTAGCCTTATTACTGCTGCGTTCCTGCAGCTGAGAGTGACTGGAAGATAGCATGGAGCTAAGCTTCCTGGTCTCTCTGTATGTTCATGACCACTCCTCTCCCAAGCATCCATATAGCAGCCCCAAAATTATGCTCAATTCTCACAGCCTCTTTATTCTTCCACTCTTGAAGGGAGACTTTTATAGAAGATGCTTTGAATATTACATTACTGCTCCCCATTCTTTAATCTTGCAAGACCTATCCCTCATCACATTTTCATTAATGAATTTGCCCATTACTTCATGGAGAAAATAGAAGCAATGTGAAAACAGCCGTCATATCCTTCTCTCACCTCATTCAACTACCTCTTTGCATCTGTACTGAATGCCCTTGATGCTGTGAGTATAATGTCCTCACTTTTTTCTTTTTTTTTTTTTTTTTTTTCTTTTTTTTTTTTTTTTGGAGACAGAGCCTTGCTCTGTTGCCAGGCTGGAGTGCAGCGGCGCAATCTGGGCTCACTGCCAGCTCCGCCTCCTGGGTTCATGCCATTCTCCTGTCTTAGCCTCCTGAGTAGCTGGGACTACAGGTACCTGCCACCATGCCTGGCTAATTTTCTTTTGTTGTTGTTGTTTTTTTAGTGGAGACGGGGTTTCACCACGTTGGCCAGGATGGTCTCAATCTCCTGACCTCGTGATCCGCTCGCCTCAGCCTCCCAAAGTGCTGGGATTACAGGCGTGAGCCACTGCCCCCGGCCAAAATGTCCTCACTTTTTAAAGCTTCCACTTTTACATAAGACATTAGTCTGATTACTGAAAGATATTACTCAACCAATTTTCTTTTCCTTATGAGAATATAAAGATCATTTCTCCTACGTTAAAGGCAAAACAGTCAACAATGAACATAACTCTTCTCTTCATTCCCCCTTTCTACAACTATTCCATTTCCTTACATTTCATTTTAGAACAAAACTCCTTATAAGGAAGTCTCTACTTGACCTCTCTAACTTCTCTCATCTAATTCTCTTTTGAACCACAGAAGTAAGAGTTTCACACCTGCCATTCGACTCAAAATGTCCTTATCAGGGTCACCAATGACCTACTTATGGTGAAATCCAGTGAAAAATCACCTCTCCTCATCAGTCATGACTTAGTATCATTCGCCAGGGCTGATCACCTCTTCCTTCCTGAAAGGCTTGAGTTGACTTCTAGGACAGTACACACTCCTAAGAACTCCCCCTTTTCACCATCTGGTCTACTTAGTCGGTGTTTATTTGTTTTCATCTCTCTAGAGTCTAACCCCTAGAGTAACCAAAATACTCTTTTGACCTCTTCATGTCACTCTCTTCTTGCCTGCTGATGACCTCATCTTACTGCTAGCAACTCCACTTACGTTTCCATCTTGATCCTCTCTCCTGGACTTCAGCTTACATTTCTAGCTGCTCAAATGGCATCTGCCATTGGGTGTCTGATTGGGAATTTACATTTAACTTGCCTAAAAATGAACTCCTGATTCTCACATCCCCTACCCACACCCGCATTAACTCCAATCTTCGCCTTTTGAAGTGTCCTCTTTCAAAACCTTTGGCATCACCCCTAAAACTCTCCTTTCTCAGGTCAACCAATCAATTAGCAAACTCGATTGGTATTAAAGTTAAAATACATCCAGACTTATCCAAAAACACTCTACGCCAGAGCTTTTTACGTGCTTTTACTGCTTTAGGGAATGGTATTTCTCCAGAATTCCACGCGAGTGTTTATCTTTTTCTCAGCGTAGAGCTTTCCGGAACACTCTATTTAATATTGAAACTCAACCTATAGCCTGACAATCCGTATGCCACTTCCCTACTATTTTATATTATCTGTCACCTTGTGATAGGCTATATATTTATGTCATCTATCACCTTATGATATGCTGTATATTTCAATCATGTATTTGTTTATGATGTGGCTTTCTCCACTGGAATTAAGACCCATGAGCGCAGGGATTTTGTGCTGTTTTGTTCAACGCTGTATATGTAATCTCTAGAAATTGTTTCAGTTAATCATCAATAAATATTTGTCAAGCAACGAAAGTAATTTTTGCAAAGCCAAACTATGTTTGAGGCATATTGAGTGATACAAAGATGAGCAGTGGGGGGCAAAAAATAAGTTTCATGAAGGTGATGTTTAATATTAAATATGAACATTTTTAAAACTCACTTAAATTTTAGCTAGTAATGGCAAAAATGGCAATTTCTTTTGCACCAACCTAAGTAATGTGAATTTATATTAAATCCATTAATATTTATCTTACACTATATTAAACTTATGTTTATAATATTAATATTTAAATTTTACTTATATTTTCCTATTTATGTTTAAATTTATTTGGATGGCACATATAAATGAAAGTTGAATAGCCATAAGCAAGACTTGAACTAAATATGTTCTATGGGTACACAGTAAGTGAGGCAATAACAACAACAGGCCCTTACACTCTACCAGCCACACTTCCATGCACTTCACATTTATTTCGCTCATTGAATTTTTCCAAAAAGCCTATGATGTCAGTCATCCGATATGATTATCCTCTTTTGGAAATATGGAAACCGAGGCACAAGAGGATTAGTCATTTTCTCAAGGCTAAAAGCTAAGTAATAAAACTGAGGTTTAAACTAGCATGTCGTGACTATGCTGGACACTTTCTCAAATCAATGCTGCATCCATGGTACAGCGTTCAGAAGAGATTTTCAGACTATTGCCTTAGCATTGGTTATTTCACATAGGAGAAGTACTCTTACTTCCTGGAATCCACCATAAATCCTTTGTCAACACAATGTATTTTACTCAAAGGAGACTAACCCGTGGTTTTGCATCAATGGAAATGCTTAGCTTGGAAAAGAGAAGTCAAAAAAGGAAAATGATATTATCATAGCATATTGAAATAACTTCCACTTAGTTTTTTTCTCATTTTTTTTTTCTTCTCAATTTCCTAAGAATAGAAATGGTTTAGATTCTGGCACAAACTACTTGTTACCTGCGTGAACATAAGCGAGTTTCTTAACCTCAGTTGTCAATTGTAAAATGAAGATTTTAACGCCCATCTATAGTTGTGTTTGAAAGAGTGAAGTGAAGTCAATGTGCAACACCCAGCACAGCGGCTTAACAAAAAATTATAGTAAGTGCCATGAAACCATCACCATGGATTCAGAAATACACTATACAAAACGTGAGTTTGTTTGTTGACAATCAAAAAAGAAAAAAAGAAAAACAAGGTTTTGCTTGGCATTGCATTATCCTCGCATGAGACACATCACTCATCGCTAAGCTCCATAAAACAGGATGTGTCTATTGCTTCTTATGAAACCATCTTTGAAGTTAGTGCACCACCAGACACCCCAGAAACAGTTTAAGCTGTATTTGAGTTTGTTGAGTGATTTTAGACACATGCCCTGGGCGGAGCAGTGCGTGCCTCCAAGACACAGCTTAGAAGTGATCCACTCACCACTTTAGAAATGCATGTGGTTATTTTTGGTCAATCCTAATATTTGCTCCAAGGAGCATCTCGTTTCCTTTAATTAGTATCCTGAGTAATGCCTTCTGTTCTGCTCGCCTGTCCTGTAACAGACATGGCTGTGACGAGTGAGAGGGCAATTCATTCAGACTGGCTTGTGTTAGAACTGGCTGCTGGAAACAATGCCAGCAACTTTATTTTTGGTCTATTAGTAAAATGACAGCACTAATTCATTTCACAGCGGAACCAAACAGCTGTCAGATGGCAGTGAGCATAATCGTGCACACATTAGAATTTAGATATGCTGAGTAGGATTTTTCCACTGGCACCGCATTCTACTGTAATGTGCTCCAAAGTCCCCCCAAATGGTGCAAGTGGCTCTCCTGGTGCATTTGCCCTCAGATAGTGCAATTCAAACAAAACAAACCCTTTGCAATTGGGCTTCCAGTTGTGAATTCAACACACTCAAAATGACAGAATTTAGGGAAAGAGAGATGACAATTAGATGATTCATGAAACTCAACTTTTACTTCCCCAACCTCATAAAAATGATACCCCAAGAGCCACAAATTTCAAATTTCTGATAAATCTACTCATCATCCTCTGGGCATTAATTAGATGGGAACAAGGAATTTGACTAGTTGATATTACTTTTCATTCTAAGAAGTTTGAGGAGCACAGAGTCCTGCCTTCTGTAGGCATATGAGCTTCTGAGACAGATAAGACACCCACACCAAGGAAAGTGACCGGAGGCTGGGACTGGCCACACAACAGGAAGCATGGGCACTCCTCCTGGCCATGCCTTACACAAAAACTACACAAAGAAAACTTTCAACAAGCTTGTGATGTCCAAATGATACCAGAGAATGTATTGTTTGCCAACAAAGAAAAAAATAATTTACTAGAACTCCTGAGTCATCTGGTGTTTGATGAAGGTGACTAACAAAGTTGTCTTGTCAGTTACAGCAAAACTATTAAAATGTCCACTGTAAATACAGCTCGTATTGAGGGCCATTTACTTTCTCTATTGTGCATTGAGAAAGTGGGTTAAATAACAAGACCAAGCTGACTTAAAAGGGAAGAGTATCTTGTTTCCTAAACGAGGAAAATGTTCTAGCTTTAGGGTTGGGATTCCACACCATAGCTACGGGTCCCCTGTCTTGGTAAATAAAGATTTATTGAAACACGGCCAAGGTCACTCAAGTATTGTCTATGGCGCTTTCATACTGTAGCAGCAGAGTTGGGTAGTTACCACAGACACCAGATGAGCTGCAAAGCCAAAAGAGTAACTCTGGCCCTTTACCAAAGAAGTTTGCCAGTCCTCTTTAGAGTGATCACCCCTGAATTCCAGCTCTTCTATGCCACAGGATGTCAATGGAATGTTTAAAAAATGACCTTAACTTTTGGAGTAATTTCATAGGAATAAAATCACTGCTATAATATATAAGGGATGAAATGAAAACATATACAATAACTTTTTTAAAACTCAATTTTTACTATGACTCTTGTTTAACAGGCTAGAAGGCAACTTGTGTTTAGGTTGCTGCAAATTCAAACAATTGAATTAAATGTGATTAAATCAAAAGTATGTTGTAAAACGTAATTTTGTATATAATAAATTTCATTGTACTCTGTTGTATTTTTACAGTGTTTAAATTCAGAGTACAGATATCTTGTGCTAATTTCATATAGTAATGTATAAATGAAATGATACCTCACTTAAATTTCTAGGAATTTCAGTGTTAAATATATTGGAATTCATTGTAAATACAAGTTAATTAGTGCCTTTGTCTTTGTGAACTTCATACAAATTTAAATTTGTTATCACGATATTCATAAATAGCTGTAGTTTTTCCATGATTCATGCATGTAAGCATTCCTTTAAAAACAGTCAAGTAAATACAGAAATTTTGATACACATGTCAGTATTGTGGCATATGAGAAGGTTTTGAACAAGTGTGAAAGTCTTAAAAAATGAAAAATCAGATGTGGAATGTTGAAAGCTCATATTTATGAGTTAAGATGGATAACACATCCAAAGCTGAAACGTGTTCAGCATCTTATTCCTGCACAAAATCTCCCATTTGTTATCCTCCTACACCCGGCAAAAATCACAGGAGAAAACTGCAAGTCCCCACACACCAGCTGTCCACTTACTCACCCTCCTCCCCTCCCCAAATGTAGCTTTCCATTCCATTATTCTAATATTTAAAAGCATGCTTCACAAAAAGTTTATGCCTGAATGGAAAAACAAAATGGAAACTTCGAGTACACATGTGATTTAAATGACTACCAAAGCTTAGTCAGATGTATACAAATCAGTGTTGCAAGTTGACAGGCCCCAGGCCATTCCTCCTTCCTTATTGGTGGTGTTTCTCTCTCCTCAGAGGATATGAAAGAATATAAGGTTATATTATGAAAGAACCAGTGTCAAAAACGTCTTCAAGTAAGCTACTTAAAACAAACTGGGAAGCTGTCTGGAAAGGGCGTATCATCCTCTACTGTCAAAAAAGAGGCATTTTACCCTATGAAAGGATTCTCCATTGATCAGGTTTTAAAGAAAAGAATTGGGAGAATACAAATAACTGCATGAATTATTGACTGTTTTTAATAGCTTAATTTTACTTCTTTATCTCAAGCTTCTAAACAATTCTTGGACATAAAGATTTTCCTATTTAGATTTATATTACTCTGATTTGCACCAATGAATGAAAAGTGAAGGAAGCAATTAAGAAATGTCTGATAATGGAAAATGTACTCTATATGACACCATTTCAAGTTGATCAATTAAATCAATAGTTCATTTTCTTGAAACCAAGAATAAGCCCATAGTTGACCAGCTCTCAGAATATGAACCTTGTAGAGGTCAACAGAGTATCTATTGTGCAGGTGAGGCCATCAGCTGCCATTTTTCTGGCTCCATTTAAAGAAAAAAAATAGCACAATAAAGGGGGAAACCTTTTAGACTAACATATCCTTTGAAAAATATACTTACGTTTAGAAACACAGATCCTTGTTTGATAGTAAACCATCAACTTTAGGTAGCAAGAACATCAGAAATCATAAATTTACATGTTGCATTCAAATTCAGAAAGGGAAATGAACTGTGAATTCTTTGCCGACTGATTTAAGAACTCTGAAGACAAAACAAATATCTGTATCACTTTGTCATTTGGGTGCACATTCGGCATTGAATTTATTGGATAGCAGACTGTGAAGCCTTTTTTAAAGTTTAGCATCTGCATATGGCTATAAATTATATTTAATGTACTATACCTGTATTTTACAAAATGACCTTCAAATGGGAGATTTTTAAAAAATTATCTACAAAATGGAAATGAATTTGATTGATGAAATTCGAATGCATTTTTACCTTAACTTACATACTTCCTACTTATTTCCAGTGTTCTCGGCTTTGTGTTAAGTCAATATATGTGTTTTTTCTTCTCTTAATCCAAATCTATGTCATTCTCTCACATCTTCTCCTCGAATTGCCTCAGACTAACAAAAGATAATTTACCCTTTCTCAGTGATTTTCACCCCATATTCTTGTCATTTTAGAATAAAAACAAATCAACAACAAAAAACAGCAAGAATGCCTATCTACCTAAGTTGATATTTGAGAACAATAAAAATGTAACCCTAACCAAAATATGTAACTAGGCAGCTCATTGTTAATTCAGAACATGCCACTCAACACTTCAGCAGGGATGAATTTGTTCTGTGTACTCTGACTTAGAAGAGTATAGATTCATCATTATTTGACTTTTTTTCTTTTTTTTTTTTTTTTTTTTAACACATAAACCAGATAAAGAGACAAAGCACAGAGAAGGAGAAGGTGGACACAGGCTTCCCAAGATGGCAAAGGAACATTAGCACAGGGCATAACTGTTCCAGGAGAATGTAATATCATACATAATTTGGAAGAAATAACAATACCGTACTTTTAGTTTGTTTGTCTTTGAGACAGAGTCTCACTCTGTTGCCCAGGCTGGAGTGTAATGGTGCAATCTTGGCTCACTGCAACCTCCGCCTCCTGGGTTCAAATGATTCTCCTGCCTCAGCTTCCCAAGTAGCTGGGATTACAGGCACCCGCCACTACGCCCAGCAAATTTTTGTATTTTTAGTAGAGATGGGATTTCACCATGTTGGCCAAGATGGTATCAAACTCTTGACCTTGTGATCCACACCTGCCGTGGCCTCCCAAAGTGCTGGGATTACAGCCATGAGCCACCGTACCCGGTCCCATACTTTATAATCTTTGAAGCCATCTTCTAGGCTAATCTAGGCCAAATGGAAGGAGAAATTAAAAGTTTTCTATACCAGATACTGAACCAAACAGTTTAGGTAACTAATTCTGTAAGCCTCATGCCAACTCTCTAAGGTAGGTACCATTTATTTTTCATTTCACAAGGGAAAACAAATTGAGGTAATGAGCGCTTAGTCACCAGCACAATGGTCACACTCATAGTGACTGGGAAACTGCATGGAACCCACACCTCAGAATTCATGTGCTTATCCACATGTAAATATTTAAATTAATTTTCCCTAACACTTTGCATTTCTAGCGTCCAGATAGTATATAGCCAATATTTGATGGTGTTTAAATAGAAAGTCATCTGATTTCTAGTTACTGTATAAGAGAGACAGAAAGAGACTATTAGACATCATCCACTCTCATTTTTGCTTATTGAAGTTCATTTTAAATAATGACCAATTTTTGTTTTTCATTTATCTGAAATTATGTATTACCAAATGTAATGTATATGCATGTAAACATGGAGAAATTTGCCCCTGACACAAGAGTATACTGGAAAAAAATTAATAAAAAAATCTTGGGAGAGAAGTATGTACAGAAGATAAAATTATGATTAAGATGAAAAATATTAAGAAATGAAAGTATAACAACTCATGAGTTGAGACTCCCCTCTGCAATGGTTTGAATATGGTTTGTCTCCACCAAAACATGTTGAAATTTAACTGTCAGTGTAATAAGTTTGGAAGGAGGAGGGCTTAGAGGTTATAAGTTCAATAAGATCAATGAATGTCTTTCTCTTCAGACTAGATTTGTTCTAGTGGGACTAGGTTAGTTATTGAAACAGTGGATTGTTATACAGTGAGGTTGCCCCTGTGTCTTACCTCTTTTGCATTCATGCTTCCCGTTTTGCTGGTCCACCATGTGATACCACTCCACCCGTTTATGAGGAAACCCAAGGCCCCCTCCACGTGTGGCCACCTGATCTTCAATCTCCCAACCTCCATAACCATGAGATACATCTCTTTCCTTTATAAATTACCCAGTCTCAGGTAACACAGCAACATAAAATGAACTAGGAAACCCATCAAGTACAAATATTAATTAATACATATTTTGTTACTGAAAATTGATTATGAAATGGGCTCTATGGAGTTAACTTGCCCTTTACTATATTCCTTTTAGACAAGTAACTATTTCTGTGAGTGGATTTCTATCAAGAGCACCTTGATTTCTTACATTAAAAAAAAATCAGCCACAGTGCTGGTCTTAGAATTCATTAACCATTTGAAAAAATACACAGCAAAGGACTTTTAATTACTTGGTTCTATTTTTCATTCAAATTCCAATTAAGAGCCAGAGATCCACTTAACAATATTCATTCCCACATTATCATCAGACATTTCTTAACTCTATAGTATTCATTAATTAATTTTTTCTGTGCTCATTGCAATGAGCTAAATAACAGTTATACGGAGAAAAATACAGCAATCCTTCCACCTGCTCATTCCATTCTTCTCAAACCTAATTTATTTTCACAATTCACATTTTCTCCTACACGTTTCTGAATGCTCACGAAAGCATATATATATGTGTGCTATGTATTTGTACATATAGACGTTCACATACCTATCCAAGTACTTTATCTTTTCACCAAAATGGAATCACGTGGCATATGCATTCACATAGCTATGCAAATACTTTTATTTATATTTTTACCAAAATGGAATTATGTTGCATTTTTTTTCACTTTAATGTACCATGCACATCTTCTGAGGTCAATACACATAGGACTAAAAGGAATTATTTTTAATAGTACTAGAACTTACGATTTTTGATGAAAAGTACACAGCAACATAGCTAAGGGTGTGTGTGTGTGTGTGTGTGTGTGTGTAGCCAGGGCAAATGATTAGCTAAATATCTCAATGTGCCTCTGATATAGTTCAGATATTTCTCAACGTGCAAGAGTGCGTGCGTGTGTGTGCATGTGTGTTTAGCCAGGGCAAATGATTAGCTAAATATCTCAATGTGCCTCTGATATAGTTCGGATATCTGTCAACGTGCAAACCTCATGTTAAATTGTAACCCCCAGTATTGGAGGTAGGGCCTGGTAGGAGGTGACTAGATCATGGTGGGGCAGATTTCTCATGAATAGTTTACCACCATCCTCTCGGTTGCTCTCCTGGACACAGCGCAAAAGATTCACCAAAATTGAACTGAAAAGTGTGTGGCACCTCTCACTCCTCCCCTTGCTTCCGCATTTGCCATGTGTTGCGCTGGCTCCTCCTTTGCCTTCTACCATGATTGGAAGCTTCCCGAGGCCTCAACAGAAGCCGGGCAGATGCCAGTACCACGGTTCCTGTCCAGCCTGCAGAACTGTGAACCAATTACACCTATTTTATCGGAAAATTACCCAGTCTCCGGTATTTCTTTATACTAATACAAGAATGGACTAATACAGCCTCACAAGTGGAATTTCTCTTAATGAAGTTGCAATGGTCTATTCCAACGGAATCAGAAACTAGATTTTCTGATGCTAAGATTTTCAGGGTTAAATGTATATTAAGTTCACGTAACCAACATATAAAGACATAGTGAAAAGTTAATAAATTACAGCTTATAGGAATTAGACTACTTACATTGATACCTATACTGATATGACAGTTTTATTATTTTTATTTAACTCACTCTAGGCCTGTATGTGAAACCAAATTGTAATGGAAGAATGCCTGCTCAAACAAGGAATTCAGAACAAGAAAAAGAAAGACATAAGATAACTGACAACAATCAGATAAAAGAAAAGTTGACGCCTCAGGTTAACAGAACTTGTATCATCAATGGACAGAAGCCATCTTTATCTTTTCAGTAGTTATGAGATTTTTGACAACTTGAAGTCTATACAATGTTCTTTCCAGAAAAATAGACTTACAAAATTACGCATATAATTTCACAGCTTCATGGAAAGAGATATTTCATGGCCCTCAAATTAAGAAAGATGGATATATAGAATATGGACAGTCTCACAGTGGACCAGAATAATCAGAGTTAACACCTTAAATTCACAAACATCCCAGGGAGGGTTGCTCAGTTGACTGCAACCATCAGGGTGCAACTGTGAGCTGGCTAAGCTTTCCTTTCCTTGAGGCTGATCCTCAATGACACAGCTTCTCCTTGGGCTCTGTGCTTTTAACTACGCTCGTGGGGCTGCCCAAACCAATTCTATCATTCATTCTTTTATCCGACACATTAGAAGTCACAGGTAGCACATAAGCCTCGCTAGATTAGCTAAATTTGTTTCTTTAGGGCAGTTCAGCGTCTCTCTTCTAATGACTTGATTGTCTTAAAGCTGTACTTTCAGAAGGCAATTATATCTCTGCTATATCCCTACTTTTAGAAAATGTTAGTGTTCATGTACTGACAGCACTAATTCTTTTAAAAAATTATTTTATCATAGCAAGAACGCTTATTATGAGATCTACCCTTATAACGAATATTCAGTTGCACAAGACAGCACTGTTGACTATACACGCAATGGTGTACCGCGGATCCCAAGAACTTACCCAGTGAGTATTTTCCAATGTCATTTAACATTGATTAGGGGTTCTAATACAGCTAGTGTTCAAAACCCCTGCAAATGGAGGACAAACGAGAGATTTCGGTAGCTTCTGGCAACTAAGCCTAGAGATAACTAAGGTGAGGACCCTACTTCTACTTGTTATGAAATGAGGAAGGAATGTGTTTACAGGAAGGATACCTGGGTTTACCAGTCTAAGTTACCTAATTAGCCCAGAGGAAAGTAATTATTGAAATTTTGCATTTGTTTCAAGCTCTATAATTGTTATAAATCTACAACAATGTTACACTATGGGCTAATGGAGAGCCAGCTGCTCTTCTTGTGCTAGCACGTTCTTGAAAAGGAAACATTTCTATCCTGCCAGGTGCATCATGCATGCTCCATGCTTTAATTCAGGTGGAGTTTGGGTTATCACTTCAAGGGAGAAATAAATCAGTGCTGACATTCTAAATAAAGCTTTGAGCTTGAAGAGTAATAATCTAGCTGCTCTTTCTAAATCCAGATCCACAGGTGTTAAAGAAAATCATGCTTGAGGGATGTGTCAGAGGGAAATGCCACACATATTCAGCCAACAGAGTGACACCCTGGTAAGAGGAAGCCCCGCCCATCCTAAATCACTTCCTGAAACCCGAAGAAAAGGTCTCTCTAGCAGCCCAGATTCACTTTTCTCTGGTGAAAATTCAAGGACTGTATAGAACTGTAGGCCATTTTCTTTCATAAAATAAATGTTCAATGGATTAATAAATACTGATCCCTCATTTTCTGTTTGTGAGGATTAAATTTCATATCCTATACTGAGCAATATTTTTAAGAGGATCTGCTTATGCATAGTTTATAAGTAATAAACTACGATCCATACTATAGATCATATAATCTCTTTATCTTTAAATCAATTCAGTGATTTTTTTTAAACTTCTGCATGCGTGGGTGTGTTCACTAGAAAGAAAATCAAATTCAAATTTTTCAATACCAATACTTACTGGCAGTTTTTCTTTCAGGTTTTGAGGAAATATGAACTACTAGAAAAAGTTAAGTTGTGGTTGAGTTCAGATTTTTATCCAAAAATATTTTTGAGTATGTATCATGTGCCAAGTGTCAAGGATTCAAATTTTCCTTAGAGTTAGTTATTGCCCTCAAGGGTACAAAGAGTAATGGCCAGAGAGTAGGCATATGAGGTGCCATCTACTGGCTTCCATTAAGTGCTCTGGGAATTCAGAATTCATTTAATCCATGTTCTGTCTTCTCCCTGCATTTATTTTGGGACAATATAACTATCACTTAAAAGCCAAAATGTGATAAATTGTCACATAGAAGCATAGGCAAGCAAAAATGCTATCCTTCGTTTCATAGTCCAGTGAAAGTAATTCAGCTTTTTTTGCAAAGGATCTCACGGAGTAAGTTTTCTATTGCAAGGATGAAATAACGTAAACTCAATTTTCTACCCTTCAGATAGGGCAGAAAGGCTCAGCTCCAGGCTCTCTGAGCTCCAGAGAACCCAGGCTCAGGATCATCCGCCTCCGCTCCCCACTGAACTCAGCCTCCATCAACTCCGCCTCACTTCTGCACCCCCTCCTCCTGTAAACCACATTGCTAAGCATTCTCAAAGACAGGCATCTGTTTTTCTCTATGCTTCTGCAGGGATTCCTCCTTACTCAGGAAGATCCTTCTGTTGTCTCTCTTCCTTGAGACCTTCTATTCCGGGTTTGACACAAAGTAGGCATTTAGCGCACGTGCTTTAATAACACGCTCTTCAGGTCGTGGCCTGAGCCCACTCTGTGATGGCCTCTACATGGCCCACGTAGACCTGCTCTTTCCCTTGCTCTTCCGCCCTGTTTTATAAAGCCGGAATGACTATTGAGTCACACCAATTACACCAGTGTTCTGTTTGATTGTTTCATTCTCCTTCACTAGTCACTGACAATAAGCAGTATTCATTTCATCTTTGTATTCCTGTAACTTAACTCAGTATTGTGTCTCTGGTAGAGGCCCCGTGAATGCTGATTAAATAAATGAGAGAAGAAATGAATGAGCAAATCTGTGTATCCACTTACACTTGTGCACGTATAAGTATGGATAGCAATGTGTATGAGCACACGTGTTTACATGTATGTGCATTTTTGAGTATGTATTTGTGTATGTGTGTATACGTAAATAAACGTAATATATACAAGAGGAAACAGTGAGTGTATAAGGATTGCAACTTCTGTAGATGTACAGACATGTGGATAATTTCTGCTTTCATTCCCTAGCAGCCATGGGATCTCGGGAAACTAAAGTACTGCAGTTAACTACTTCACTTTCTCTACGTGATAATAATAGATCACCTTATTTCACTTAGACAATTTCCGTGAAGATTTCCTAAGAAAAGACATGAATAAAGTCTTTGCCAATTGTTATGAAAAATTGTGTCCTATCTGTACAATTGCCTTACACTATGGAGAAAAGTTCTATACAAAGCAAGTAGTGATTCTAGTTAATAAATACCGGAGTCACTGTTTTGATTCAGAGCTGCTGCTTTCTATCCAAAGAAAGGTTGGATTATGTACAAAACTTCTATTTTCCGAAAGCTACTGGATCATAAAGAATACAATTAACTTCCGAAAAACCTTGTTTTACTTATAAAATGAACTAAAAAGTCAACCTAAATTATTGCATATAATTCATAAAAGCTAGATTTTAAAAATATAACCAATATTTAAATTATTGAAGTCCATGTATGATTTCCCAAATATTTTAGAAAACATTTGAAATTATATTCATAATAAACACGTGCATTAAAATTGATATTTAGACTTTAGAACCAAAATAATGAACATTTTGAGTCTAAGAGTTTTGATAATAGATGCACGCATTTCCAACATTTAGCTTACGTTTTTACTAATAAGGGCAACTATTATAAAATAGAAGAATTCCTTTTTAAAATCTAAAGAGAAAAATATATAAAGTACATCAGAGAGAGAGGCTCTTTGGGGAACAATTTTTAGATGACCGTGTATCACCCAGTCCGTATATTTTCTTCAATGTCCTCAAGTCTAATATGTGTCAGCCTTTGTCTCATGTCAATTTTCTGACTTCCTAGATGTTTTTCTTAAAACATAGGTCAGCTTGATGACAAAGTAATATTTTTTAATACTTGAGATTTTGATAAAAGAAGAAACATTACACAAATAAAATTTATAGACATAGTACTTCAAAACTGGGCATATCTAGGAATTTTAATAGTAATCTTATTATAAACTATGTGTAATCCTAATAGTTTCTGTTATTAATTTGTCAAAGACAGCTATGCAACTATGTTGGTTCACAATTAAGACTAATGTCCAAGTATAGAACTAGCAAGTAAAATCTTACAACACTGAATTAAGTTACTACCTTCAATTTTATTCTATATTTAGCAGTTAAAATGTGTTAATTTGAATATATACACTTAATTGCTGAGACTTGCTGAGGTCTATATTCAGAAAGTCAAATACTGTAAATAATCAATGTTAGTATAAAATTTATCAGTGTTCCCACTGGATTTCCAGAGTTAAATTCAATGACTGAACACGTTGATTACACTATTTTAATTTGTTTCTATTCTCATTATGTAGCTTAATAGTTCCATGTGTGAATAATAGTTTATGTAAATAAAGCCTATTCCAAAGTACTGCCAGACAACAGTTGAGTTTGGTGTCCGGATTATGTTTATTCCCAAGGTTATCATGTTTACATAGATCTTAGAACTTTGGAAGATTCTTCTCCTTTCAAGCCAATACATTTCAATTAAAATTTTATGCAGCAGTCTGTTAATACTACCACAATTCCATGTTTTAGTTAAATAAAAAAACATGAATTTATTATAATATGAAAGTTCATTTTATATCTAAATCCAGTTGCCTTTATACGTCTTGGATTATACATCAGTATTTTATTCTATTATTTGACTCATACCAATTACTTGGTGGGTCAAATAACAGGATCCGTGGGCAGTCTCTCCAAAATAAAAACTAATGGGAAAAGAGGAAATCTGAGGTATCAGAAAGAGAATTTTGTGACTCTAAATCAACTTGAAACATTTTTCTAATTATTATCATTAATTCTACTTCATATACATATATATACATGTACAAATTGGTGTATTTGCTTATTTTATGCACTCTTAATAAATTCTGACCTTTTCCCATGACATTTCCTTGGAAAGTAATAGTTGTCTAAAGTTTATGTGTAAAGTATTTGGTACTTGCAATAAATATTGCTATAAAAGCTCTCTTCTACTCTAGATTATCTTACCTTACTCTTCCACTTAAGACTATAATTGATAATTTTTCTCCAAATAACGCACACTCATTTTTGCAGGAGACCTGGAAGCTAACTGATAAATAGATTTAAACACACACATACTAAATACTAGATACAATTTTGGTTTAGCCAACAAAGCACCTTTTTGACAGGTTTTTTTCTTTTAAATAGAGGTTTGTCTTCACTTGTCAACATCAGACTATAATATCACCATTTCAAATCGAAATACCACAAAATCATTTTCTACATAGCCACATTAAAAAATAAATCCAAGTTACTCAACTTATGGCCCTATTCCATTTTCTAGAAAGTTTTTCAGTTGATCTTTTGGAGTAACAAAGAAATATTTTTCCAACATAGACAATCTTGCCCTATTTTCTTCATTATACCATCATGACCACCAGTAAACCCAGAAATAGCCCAGAAATATTTGATAGAATTATTCATATAGTGATTTCTCAACAGCGATGGAGTTTTCACAACATTAATTTTGGGAATCTAACAAGACCACCTTTTCAGCTATCAACTTCATCAGGAGGGGAGAAAAAAATGCCAAGTTTTCTAAAATGTGGAAGCATTATCTATTTTCTGAACAAATATTGTATGTTAACAGGACAAAATATGCCTGGCATATAGCTGGTATGGATTGCTTTAGAGATGCTTTTGTAATATTCTGCAAAAAATGAAATGATGTGAATTTAGAGTTTATATGAAGTGGTACATTGATATCATCAATGATACAATCAAAACTGAAAGCTAATAACATCCACTGATCTTCAATTAGCCTGCTGCTTTCCAAAGATTAACTTATTCCTTGATAGTAACGTACTTAAAGGTGATAGACCCTTTCCAGCCACTGACGCTGGCTTATGCACAAATGCGGTGGCATGAAAGACATTAGAGGCAGAATCGCAGACCATTCTCAGCATTATTCCACACGTAACTTTAAGCAAAAGGATAAGTCGGTCCATTCCTATGTCTCTGCAAAGAGAACCTTCTACACTGTAATTTTCTGCTAATTTCACTACAGCCACCCATTTGCACAAACCACGTGTATATTTTAACTTCCCACAAAATACGATTTTTGCCTAAATGCAGAGTATTCCCAGTAAGAATATATAATTTGTGACTTAGTAGCAAATGACATCCCAAGTAAACAGTGTGTGTTGTAAATAGGAATTGGTTTACACCCCTAACGATAGATTGCTTTTTAAATTTACAGACTCCAGAGTTTCTGTTACAGACAGTAGCTCTTGTATTACGTGTAAAAGGCAATTTAAAATCTCCATCCAAAACAAAAGTAGACACACATCGGCCTTTAAAGTATTAACTAGTTCAATTTCTTAAAACCTAATACTTGAAATGATAATTTCCTTTTCCAAAGTTCTATCTCTGCATTTAAAAAAAATTTCTGCCAAAAGCCGTTTTAATAATGATAGCAATACCTCAAAGGTATCTAGGCACAAAATCTGAAGACATGAAAACAAATAAGTCTCTATGCCTTGCATGATCAAACAACAGTAAAAGCAAATTAATTTTCTCTCTTAAAAATTTCAGCTTTGACAACAAAAGTTCATTTAATGAAATTTCCTTTACTCAAGCACTATCAGTATAATTGTCCAACCAAAAATTTAATGAAACTCTTCTGCATTAAAAATGAACTCTTTACCACGTAAGAGGGCTATTAGTTTATAGTCAAATTTCTCAAAACTTATTCGCTACAAATTAACCAAAACAAAACCCCAAGAAGAAAAGTTCTAGTGATAAGAAGAAAATTGTGAACACGTTTTGGGCTGGAAAGTTTGGCGATTATAACAGTGTTACCAAATGCCATTGCATTACACAGAAGCCAAATGTCTACACCACGGAACGACCTGCGACATAGCAGCCTAGTTTGTCATTATTAATCCAGTGTAGCATGTATTAGATCATTTGGACAGTGAATGCATGTGCAAAACACAACCAATCTCCTACCTTCATATAATGCTTTGAAACCTTGGGCACTCACAGCGAAGTCTGTCGTGAACCACAGAGTGAGGATAGATCCTGTACTCACTATAGAGGAGGGCAGCTGAAATCCCGATAATCTAAATTTAAAAGACAAGACACAAAGAGAGTTAAAAGCATGAATTTGTCAAAAAAAGCTTATTTGATGAAGTCACTGAATAACTTGAACAGTGGTATATTCACTTGAAATATGGCATTAAACACTTAGATAATCCATACACATAGCTTTGGTTGTTAAGTATTTGAAATTAAACATTTTCAAGTATGAGAATATGTTTATTTAAATAACTTGAGAGAATTTCTTCTTGAAAATACTTACTTATATAATATGCCATTGTCTTAAATGCTCCTCGTTTTTGGATGGCAATTATCTACTGCCAACTTTTTTTTTTATTTGAATTTTTAAGTTATAGGGTACATGTGCAATATGTGCAGGTTTATTAGGTAGGTGAAGGTGCGTCATGGTGGTTTGCTGCACCTCTCAACCCATCACGTCGGTATGAAGCCCAGCATGCATTATCTATTTTTCCTAATTCACTATTTTTAATTTTTTTCTAATAAAAAATATGACAGGTAAAGCATGTGAATGTGTGTATAAACATTTGTGCACTCAAACATGAAAGTATTGCAAAACCACTGAGTTGGTCGTGAAACAATCTGTGTTTCAGTTGGATTCCAAGCTGTGCTCTTAGGAAAAGTGAGTGAGATGGTCAGGATAGCAAAGGCCCCGTGCAATAGGCTGTGAGCCGTCTAGAGGGCAAACCAATGCTGACACAGCTCTGTGATCCACAATAGGACTCCCAACATAAGAATGCTGAGAATACCCACATTCTGGTAAGTAGCTTATTTTTTATGTTATAAAATCCACAAACTCCTGTGCTGTGAAGCCTGGTCTGTCCTCTTTCACCCTCCTAGGAGCCCTCCTCCCTCCCTGTCTTTTGGTTTATCACCTTTCTTATCTGGTACAATTCACGGGGATCTTCAACTCTCAAATTGTATTCATCTTTGTAAACTGCAGTATCTGCTGTCTGCTTTTATTTTTTAATTCAGTCCCCTTAAAGAGACTCATTTGTTCATTTTTTCCCATTGGATGCCAATCCAAACAACTTTCAGACAGTGCATTCACATGAAGGAGTAAATGACTGATGAATGGAAAAAGAAACCATTGTCATACCAGAAGACACTGCTTTGTACTTTATGTGTTAGCGAACGCAATACAGAAGACAAGTCAGTGAAGCAAACGTTGCTTTAAGAAAGGAAAAACAAAAAACAAAAAACAGTGAGTTTAAATTCTCCTGTGACTGAAGACCAGCAAGAATACAGAACTCATCAACCCTATATAACAGTATTTAATCAATATTTATAGTACACTTTACCCAGCAAGAACAGAGTACACATTTCTTTCAGGTGCCCACAGAACATATACCAAGATAAACCATATTCGAGGCCATAAAACAAACCTCAAACTATATAAAATAACTGAAATCATATAGCGTGTGTTCTCTGACCACACAGTGGAATCAAATTAGAAATCAGTAAGATAAAAATGACAGAAAAATATCTAATTACTTGGAAAATAAACAACACACTTCTAAATAATCCAGGGGCCAAAGAGAAAGTCTCAAGGAAAATAAAAATACAGATAAACTGAATGAAAATATAAAATACAACATATTAAACTTTGTAAGACTCAGCTAAGCAGTGCTGAGAAGGTAATTAGTCGCACTAAAAACACAGCTTAGAAAAACTCCCAAATCCCTAATCCAAATTCTTATTGCAAGAACTATAAAAGAAAAAAACAAAAAAAACTAAAGCAAACAGAAAGCAAAAAACAAGAAAAGTACAGAAATCAATAAAATTGAAAGAAAAAAGAACAAATAATGAAAGAGCCAGTTCTTTGGGAAAATAAAATTGAAAAAGACTGACTAAATAATTGGGAGTTTCAGAAGGTACAAAGAGTCACTGTCATTAAACATCAAATATTACTATGAACTCAGAATTCATCATAAAGATAATAAAAGTTACTACAGAAACTACATATGTAAAATTGGCAACTAAGACAATATGGGTCACTAACTCAAACAAATGAACTATTACAACTAACCAATGAAAAAATACATAATATGAATTATCCTATAGCTATTAAAACTTTCCCCAAATTTCCAGTTCCAAATGTTCCCACTGGAGAATTCTACATTTAAATAATTAACACCAGTCGTACACACTTTAAAGAATTAACACTAATTCTACACAGTCTCTTCCAGAAAGTGTAAGTGGATAGAATGCTTTTGTAGTAATTTTGTGGCATTGACACTACCCTTTCCCTTATGGGCTGAATTATGCTCCTCCCACCAATTCATATACTGAAGCCCCAACCCCCAACATAACTAGATTTGGAAATGGGGCTTTACAGAGGTAATTATAGTTAAATGATGTCAAATAATTCGGACTCTGATCCCATAGGGTAAGCATACGGTAAAAATAAGAAAAGAGAAGGATTCCTTTCTCCCTGGACACATACTGAGAAAAGACCATGTGAGCATGGAACAGGAAGGATGCTGTCTACAAGTCAGGAAGAGAGCCCTCACCAGGAACTGACTATTCTGGACCCTGATCTCAGACTTTCAGACTCCAGAACTGTGAAAAAATAAACCTGTATTTCTTAATCCCTGGAACTTATAGTAGTTTGTTATGGCAGCCTAAAGAGACTAAGACACTCTAATATCAAAACCAGATAAACACAGAAAAAAGAAAAATAAAATAATGTCTCTCATGCATATAGATGCAAAAATCCTTAACCAAGTAAGAGAAAATAGAAATAGGCAAGATACGAATTATACACGATGATCAAATGGTGTTTATTAGAGGAATGTTAGAAAGGTCCAATCTTTGAAAATTAATCCATATAATCTGCAATATTAATGGGCTAACAAAGTAAAATCACAAGATCATAGTAATCTATGTAGAAAAAAACATTTGACAATAATAATCATTGAACATGAGAAAAGTTCTCAGTAACATATGATTGGAAGGAATCTTCTCCAACTTGACAAAGAATATCTCTACAAAAATAAAAAAAATTTAAAAAAGCCTAAAGATAACATTTTGCTTAGTGGTTGAAGACTGAATGCTTCTGCCTAAGACTGGAAACAAGTCAAGAAATTTGAACAAGTCAAGAATGCTTTGAACATTCTTATTCAATATCGTGCTGGAATATCCTGCAAATACAATAATACAAGAAAAGAAAATATATGCGTATGGGTCAGATAGGAATAAATAAAATTACTACTATTTGAAGTTGGCATGATGATCTTTATAGAAAATGCCAAGGAATCTACAAGAAAATTTGTAGAGCTAATACTTGATATCATCAAACGTGCAAGGCACATAATGAACATACAAAAATCTATTGTAGTTCTACATACTAGCAATGAACACGTTGACATCAAAATCTGAAATACATCAATCACAACAGCTCAAAGAAAAGCTTCTGTATAAATACAATAAGATAAGCCCAACAGTGTATACAGAAAAGTACACAACACTGAAGAAAAAGTTCAAAGAAATGCTAAATAAATGGACAGATATACCATGTTAATAGTATGGAAGATGGAAGACTCAATAATGTAAAGATATAGGTTACTTCCAAACTGATACACAGGTTTTACACAATTTCCACCAAAATCCCAGCAAGAATTTTTGGGTATATAGCAAGATCTTTCTAAAATTTATGTGGGAAGGCAAACAAACAAAAAAAAATAGAATAGCTCAAACATTTTGCGAGAGAAGAATAAAGCAGGAGAAACAGTTCACCTGATTTCAAGACTTATTTTATATCTACAACGGTTAAGACTATTTGGTATCGGCAGATTGGCAAAGACATAAACCCGTATGTCAATGGATCAGAACAAAGAACCCAAAAATAAACCTGAACAAATATCTCCAATTTATTTTCAACAGATTCAAAAGAAATTGCATAGAATAAACCAACAAATTATGATGGATCAATTGGATGTCCATAGCAAATAGTAAGTTTAACACCTTATATAAAAATTACCTCAATGTGGATTACAAATATAAATGTAAAATGTAAAGCAATTAGACTCTTAGGAAAAAAATAGGGGAAAGGCTTTTGAGTCTAGGGCTAGACAGAGTTTCTATGCTTGACACCAAAATTACAAACCAGAAAAAGATAAGTTAATAAATTGGATTTCATAAAAATTAAAAACTTTGGCTGCAAAAGACCGCATTAAGAGAATAAAAGTGTATGCTGCAGACTGGGAAAACACATTCGCAAGCCAAATATCTGACAAAAGACAAGTATCTAGAATATACCATGAACTCTCCAGACTCAACAACAAAAGGCAAACAATCCAATTAGAAAATAGGCAACAAGCAGAAAAGTCAGGTGACCTAAAGGACATCCAGACGGCAAATAAGCCCACGAATATTTACTCTACATCAATAGACATCAGAGGAATGCAAATTAAAACCACAGAGAAATACCGCACATGATATTTCAGCCAATCAGAATAGCTGAAATAAAAATAAATAATGACAACATCACATGCTGGCTAGAACGTGGAGAAAATTGGTTGCTCTTATACTGCTGGTGGAAATATAAAATGGTACAGCCATTTTCTGTAGAAAACAGAAAACTTCCGAAGAAGTTTGACATTTCCTTTAAAAACGAAACACGTAACTGCCATCTGACCAAACAATTGTTCTTCTCTGCATTTGCCCTAGAAATGCTCATGATGGGAAACTGTCCCTATCTTCACCATAATGCATCAATATTCGGTTGTGTAATTATTATACCATAGTTTTGCCGGTGGTTTCCACTTGAGAAACTGGTATACAGTACACAGAAACTCTTTGTATAATTTCTTTTAACTACATGTGAATCTATAATGATCTCACATTAAATAATTAAATACATTGGAAAGGTTGAGACTGAGAGGTACTCAAGAACATATTAAGATTAAAATAATCTAGTAACCAAAATAATGCTATTTAATAACAAAACATTAAATTCTAAAAGTAAGTTGAACAAAAACTATTGAGGATAATTTAGTAATTGCCCATCTTGAAGTTTTACATATATATTCGCCTAAGTTAGGTACAAAATAATGTGATAGCACTTAATTAAATACAATTTCATGTCCCTTTAAATTATTAAGTTTTATAAAAAATTGTGATTACGAAGGGGTGTGGTCAAATGATATTAGTTCAGGAAGTAGGAACAAGATACTAAGGGATTTTTAAAACGAGTGTCATAAGACTACTGTTCAGAGGTTTGGGGTAATTTAATATGGACGTATGTAGGGAAAATATATGCATGTGATCTGATTTCAAATAGCTGCAATGAAATGGATTCATTCTTATTTGTGTGCCAAAAAAAAAAAAAAAAAATAGAGTCCAACATTAGTTGACAGGGATGCGGAAGGATGAGTGGATCCAATTGATCATAAAGAGCTTTCAAGAGCTAAATTTGTGATTAAATGTTTATAGCCATTTACTCCACACTGGCTGCGAGTAAGGAATCTTATAAGGAGCTGGCAAGACTCACTCCTTGGTGGCTCACAAATGTGCTCCTGAAGACATGAAAGTACTTCTGTGAGTATCCTTTCCATGAGGGCCCTTGCGATACATTTTATTCTTGTCTGCCTCACTTTGAGGAATCCCTGCTTCTTATAAGCAACTGGCTTATTTTCAACACATAGTAAATTACGAAACATTTTGAAGTAAAATGGATTTTGAAGTAAATCCCAATAATCCACACAGGTGTCTTGCAGTAGCAAGTCTTCCTTCTGTCATTCATATTTGATGGTCCAGGGTAGTACGGGAATATTTTAGTATATGCAACGTTACTGATAAACTTTGAATATTTCAACAAAATATGACATATGTTACTCCCTATCGTAATTTTTTAGTGTTTTACAAAAAATACAAGCATGCTAAAGTATCTTCATTTTAGAGAGGTAGACATAGCCCAAAATTAAAGAGGTATACATTAAACATTTTAAAATGTGTTTTCCAAATCTCCAAGGGATTATGAAATTTTACTGAAGAAAACTGGCCATAAATAAAAGGAATTATTTTGAAAAAAAAAAAAATCTTATCGCCTATGGATGTGACAGAGAGACTGACATTAATTTCCAGACAGCATATACAGAGGCTAGGTAATCAGGAAATAGACTGGAATCTGTGAATTAAGAAGCCTTTTATCTATAGTTACCGGACAAGTTTTCCAGTAAAATAACTTATTTTTTATAAGTTATTCCAATTTCTGTTCTAGAATTCATCCAAAATTTGTTGTAGATATAAAAAGTTTTTTTAATTATGTAGTATATAGCATATAATTTTGAAAATCCTTTTTATATATTTTGTATGTAGTATATATAGTAAACCTTTTTATATACTATATATACAATATCATAAACATATACTATATAGAGCATATATAGTAAACATACAGACTACAGTTTATATATATGACATATATAGTAAAGTTTTTATATATTTTATAAAGACTGTAGTATTTTATACTGTATAATATATAGGATATTTACTATAGTATAGTATATATACACAGTATGTGCAGTATAGTATATATACTATAAATTATATTGTTTACTATATAATATAGTAATATTTTGTTATTCATATTTTATAGTAATATTTTATTATATAATATAGTAATATTTTTATTATATAATGCAGTAATATTTTATTACTATATACATTTATTATACAATATAGTAATATAGTAATATTTTATATTACAATACAGATGATATTATATAATATAGAAATATAGTATGTAATATTACATGATACATAGTATACTATATTATGTACTATATTATAGCAGAATTCAAAAGTGGGAAGGGGTATTAGTATCAGATGTCAGGTGTTTCAGCTTTTTATTTTATATAGAAGAGAAATTATGGTAGAAGTATTCGGTCACTGGATAAGACTGGCCTGGTCTAGGGATGGGGACAATTTAGATATCAAGAAGTGATCAGTGATCATGTCCCCACGAGAACTGGTGTAGACGGAACAGCCCCAGAGAGCTTGGGAGATCAAAGAGCACAGGTGGCTGTGGCTCCTGGGAGGTCACCATCCTTATAGAAAGCCTCTCCTGCCAGGTAGGGGTGGTGAGGACAGAATCTACACAATGGGTAAGTCCAGATGGGTGTGCAGGGACCATCTAACGATTCCTGAGCCCAAGAGAGGCACACGCCGTGCCCTGAATGGTCCTCAGTCCAAGAGATCACTTGAGTTATGTGGCCTTGGTGAGCAGGTCTTGGTACTGTTGACAAAATACTGGATGCAGTGAGTTACATGTCAAACTGTGTCAGGACACGGCAGAGGGTGATCTGGAACCAGGTGCTTTATCAACCCCTAGGTACCTTGGGGTCATAGAACTCTCTTGGACTTAGATACCATCCGGGGAAGATGCAATCAAGCAGGCAAAGTTCAGAAGAGACTTAATCAAATACACACACACACACACACACACACATGCACACTCAAACACACACAGTGAATCATGTGAGTATATATACATCTTACCAGATTAAAATGTCCGCCATCATTTGGAGAGAGACTCGAAGTAAAAATTATTGTAAATTCCATGTAATAATTACATTATTTTTATACGTTAACTTTTGGCCTCAGAAAATAGTACCTATTACATTTATGTATTTTTCTGTTCTATTCAGCATATCACTAATTTGAAACTATTAATATAAAGTATATAAATCTCTCAATAGAAACTTCAATTACAGATTTTTATCACAATGTATAACCCATACAAATATATGCATGTTTAACCTATTGAATAATTCTTTTTCTTAAAACCCTGTTGAATTTTAAAGTCAGGGATCACTACTTAATATAATGTCTCTAGGGCACAGACTGCCCTTTATTTAAGGCACTTTATTTAAAGTTATGTTTTCAAATGTTTTTCTGACTCCTTGCTGTGACACCTCATTGGCCCAGTAGTAAAGATATTCCAAGTAGCTACTGTACTTGAAGCCTTTCATTGCTATTGTTAAGACATGAAGGTTACATGTCTCGTTTTCATATCAGACAATATCAAGAGTGAATGGGATACATCTCTGATGCCTGTTTTCCTCCTCTCCAAAGCACCCACCACATCTATGTGAATCTGGCTTCACTTAAAAGGAAAACAAACCCATGTTCACTTGTACTGTGTCCACTGAACCACACATTCTAAACACAAGACAACTAGGAGACTATCAACTTGATACAAGGAAAATCAGGACAGCTTGTACCAAGACAACTACTTCACATCTAACGAGTCCCAACACCTTTCTCTATCATCTAGTACCTACTAGGGATTAAAAGTAATTCTAGGTAGCTTGTTATCTTCCTTGTAAGCTGTAGTTCAATAGGAATACCTAAATGATTTGCTAATGCAATATGGAAATGGTTTTTCACATTAATTTCTGGAGTAAAAAGGCTGCATGCCTGGCATATGTGTATCTCTCTCTACATGTCAGAGCAGGTATACACACAGAAGTATGTTAACATGTATTTTCCTACAATAAACTTGCAACTTACCTTATGACACTTTCAGTAATACTAGATGTGCTCAAGTTCCTTTAGGAAACACGGAAACTACAGAACTTTTAGGGCTTATTAAAATAGCTGATAATGTCATATTAATAATCCAGGGTTCATTTTAAATTTGGTTATTTTGTGTATTATTTATTTATTTATTGAGAAGGAGTCTAGCTTTGTCGCCCAGGCTGGAGTGCAGTGGCGTGATCTTGGCTCACTGCAACCTCCACCTCCCAGGTTGAAGGATTCTCCTGCCTCAGCCTCCTGAGTATCTGGGATTACAGGCACCACCACGTCCAGCTAATTTTTGCATTTTTAACAGAGACAGGGTTTCACCATTTGGCCAGGCTGGTCTCAGATTCCTGACTTGAAGTGATCCACCTGCCTCATCCTCCCAAAGTGCTGGGAATATAGGCATAAGGCACTGCACGTCGGCCTTATCTTAGGTATTTTTTTAATAAGAGTTTTACATACTTACAGTGTACAATACAATGTCTCAGTATATATGTCCATCATAAAATGATTACTACTGGTAATCAGTTTTTTTCTATGAAAACTGATATATAATTGGATTATTATATATAATATATATTTATATAATTGGATAGAATTCTAAAAGGATCATGCCTGCCTTACACGAATATCTGGTTATGTTTTAAAAACATCATGAGATTTCAACAGTCCTATCACTTCTTGTTGAAGAGAATAATTTCTCATCAATTTTGCTTCACTGCTCTTCAAGAGCTTTACATGTGTATATGTGTGTATACATAGATATACACACATTTTACACACACACATCTACATATACAAACTATATCGGACAAAGAAAAAGCATCCTCCTTTCACACAATGTTTTGTGAACAGTGGCTCAGTTTGGTTCTTTGGCAACTCCTCCTGTCAATTGGGAAACAGATTAGCTTATATAATTTGTAGAATTCAAGTTGGATCAGAAAATTGCAAAAGCGTGAGACTCATTACAGAAGGATTTGGTCCATACTGATTTAGGAGGCAAAGAAAGTCAAAGTTTAGAGACTATTCCAGAGAGAGAAACGAATGCACAGAGGAGGGCCCTTCATGCTGGGTACCCCAAGAGATGGACCCCAATACCCCAAAAGAACAGGAGCTCCATGAGGGCAGAAGTGGGTCTCCTGTAACCCACAGCCGTATGCTGAGATTCTAGAAGTGCTCCACCCGTATTTGTTGAAATATACCGGCAATCCCCTCCCATCATACCCAGGATCTCATTGGCTCGGGAAGAAATCCACGCCCATTCAGTTAAGTTCTATGAAATGAGGGAATCCTCTCCTCCATTTTTGGCCAAGACTTGGGGATTCAATCAGTGGTCACCCATCAGGGAATGAAAAAGACAAGAGGCAAAGGGGAGAATCCACTGGAAGCTGAGCTGGAAGATGAGGTCTCCTTAAGTGCCTTCCCACTGAAATGAAATCGACTGCCTGAGTTTTCAGAATCAACCAGGAAGTATAAAAGCAGAAACAAAACTTAATGTTTAAATCCCAGAAGTGAGGTTTATAAATAAAGCTAAATGTGCTGATTCCACAAAGCAAATCTATGTCAGAATCTATCCTACGTGTGCTTTCCTAAGCAAGGTGCCCCTTTATCTCAGGAGTTAGGCCCCAGCTTTCTCATGCCATGAATACTGGGTCGGAGAAGAAATTTTCTAAAATCACATCTTATGTTTTGGTGCTGAAAAAATATTGCAGTTAAACCACTGCATATTGCTTTAACTGATAGTTTTCCTTCCTAAAAGGCTTACATCATTAAAGGCTTATCAGTTTATTCAAATATATCATTGTTTACCTCATGGTTATGACATAGTCTACCTTCTCCCGGGACCCTGAGAGGAATTTCATTTGGTTATGGTGATTTAATAGACATGGTATATCATAATTTGCACTAAACAAAAATTTCCTCCTAAGAAATTACACTCTGATAGACACTACTCTCTAATAAAAGTTACTCTGGGGAAGAAAATAAATTTTCCCCAAATTGCATTCTAGACAAGTTTGTCAAGAATTCAACTGATCCTCTTTTTTTTAATCAATGCACCAAGTTATTTTGGGCAAGTTATAATTACAGTGTCTGTAATAGACTATCGGAAACAAAAAATCTAAAGAGATTTTGCCCCCAAGCATGAAACAGCATCCACATAATGTATGTTTATGACAATCAAACCATTTACAAATGACATTAAAACAGTAACAGCGTTTTTCCTGTCAATTGTCACTGCAAATACTTCACTCCAGTGTTGTCCCCTCCACTCTTTGCCTTCTGTGTGATCAGCACCAGCTTCTCCTGAATGGTAAGGATCCATAAATTATCTTAACAGTGTAAAATTCACTACTAGAATTTTTATATCAAGATGTCCTTTCAATCTTTTCTCCCCTCAGTTATGCCACTTTTCTCTGGAAAGACTTCGCATAAGACCTGTGCTTCTTCAGAATAACTCGTGGAGTGTCCATTTTATTTTCTTCTATGATCATTAGTGTTAATATATTTAATCTTAAACAGACCACATGACTGTAGAAAAAGAGGTGAGGCTCTAAATGATTTGCTCAAAGGCAAGGGAGGGGAGTAGGTAGTGACCCCTAGAGTTTATTCCAGGTCTGTTTTCATTATCTCAACAACATTAAAAAAATAGTGAAATGGCTCAAAGATGTTAAATAATAATATGCAAATTTATTTTATCATATCTCACAAACTGTATTTTTACTTCGTGATTTTCTTAAGGGTGAACCTAACGTCTATAAAATTGAAACCAATAGTTGGGAGGAATTCATTGCACTTAGAACCATACGCACAAACTTAGATTGAAGGAGGAACAAGGTGAGAGGAGAGCGAGTGAGCACACAGTCAGGAGAGGAGGGCAGAGAGAGAAGAAAGTAGAGAGACCAAGTAGAGACCAATTGCTACTCAGTTACACTTTATAACACCCGACCCTGATAATCTACACCAGCCCCGGCCCCATTTCAAAACTTTGCTCTGAGGCTACCTCTTTGTGGCAAAAACCAAAACCAAAACGAAAAACAGACAAACAAAAAACAGAGGCTAACTGGAAAGGAAGAAAAGATAGAGGAATGAAACAAAAGAATCCTAAATCCTGACAGCAGAATTAAGACAATGGAATCAATTGTTGTTCTAACAATTTTGAAACCAAACTTCAGTAACCTGGCATGTATTAGAAATGTAGCAAATGCTTAATAAGTTGGTAACATACACATCCAAGATAAAGTACTACGAAATGTGGGCCTATTTTCTTGGTGGAATAAAATTTATTATATATACTATTAAAATATGTGAATGATATGTAACAATTGGGTAAATGGGAATTACTTCAAATAAACACAGTATTGTTTTAAAAGCCACGGCAGTAACTTACATTTATGCACTTCATTATATTTGTCAATGTATTCTCAAAAGGCCTGCAAAAATGTGTAAGGAGATTTGGTAGTGCTCACAGACTAAAACAGACAGGATTAGAATACAGAAATATTGGCTATTGAGTTCAAAAAGGTGATTATATAAAATAAATCCTTGCTAAAGCATGCATGGATTATAAAAACATGATTGGCAATTATATTGCGAAGTTTGAAAAAGTAAAATTGGAATTTAAAAATTTTGTCAAATGGGTTATGAGAAAACAGTAAACTCACACAGGAACTTAACTGTTTTCCAGGTGTAGGTTTTTATGAGGCAAGAGCCCAGAGACTAGGCAGCTTAAGTAACTTACTCAAAGGACTGCTTGTAGAATCCCCTTCCCTGGCTATGAACTTAGTGATTAACCTACACTAAGGCAGGTTTCATGTTATGTTGATTTCCTAGATTTGGAGCCTGGTGAAAAGAAATGGACTAATGACACAAAAACTCAAGTATCAATTACCCTCCTTGGGGTGTCTACTAACTGCTGGTAAATGCTCGGAGTGTGAAAACACTGTATTCTCACAACATCCATAAAACACCCTTATGACTTAAAGACAGGCAGTAAAGCTCACTCCTTTTGCAGGTGAGGAAACGAAGCCTCAGAGATCCTTAATAACTGACTTAAGACCATGCAGGTGGAGAGCAGGAGAGACAAGATTCAAACCCTGGCGTCTCTCTCCAGAGCCTGTGCTTTTAACTCCTGAAAGTTCACAGGAGATTTCAAACCAGGGCCATAGAGGAAATAAAAATATATGAAGCCAAGCAGTAATTTTGGTTATTGATTAGAAACCAACCAACAATTTAGATTTCTTTAGCACTCTGTTGTATACCAAGGGTCTCCAACCGCGAGCCACGAATGTGGCTGCCCATCAAGGGGTGAGCAGCAGAAGCCAGAGAGGCTGTGTTGTTTTCACAGCTGCTCCCCATGGCTCACGTTACCAGCTGAGCTCCACCCTCCTGTCAGATCAGTGGGAGCATTACATTCCCACAGGAGCGTCAACACTGTCGTGAACTACGTATATGAGGGATCGAGGTTGCACACTCTTTATAACTATCCAATGCCTGATGATCTGTCATTGTCTCCCATCACCTCCAGATGGGACTGACCAGTTGCAGAAAAACAAGCTCAGAGCTCCCACTGATTCTGCATTATGGCGAGTTGTATAACTATTTCGTTGTGTATTACAATATAATAATATTACAAATAAAGTGCATTATAAATGTACTACATTTGAATGACCCCGAAACCATTTCCTCCCACACCCTGGTCCGTAGAAAAACTGGCTTCCACGAAACTGGTCCCTGGCACCAGAAAGGTTGGGGACTGCTATTATATACAACTCATAATATCATGGACATGACATCATTACATAAATTTCTACTAAAAGAATCAACCTTTGAACCAGGAATAGGGCACATTAAAGGCAATTCCCTGCGAGGTCAACGCACTGGCTATCTGCAAGCGCGGCCAAGTGTTTCCCTCATTCCCAAGGCAGCCCCAGATCCCCCTGCCGGCAAGAAAAACCTTGTGGAAGCAGACATGTGCTGCAACAGAGAGATGAAAAGCGCCCTTAAAATGGGAAACGACAAATTTGATAAAGCCAGTTTTCTTTATGCTCAAATCTGCCCTTGTCTGAAAGAGCTACACTCTCCCACTTGCAGTCATTCACCTGGCATGTGAATATATAAAATTCCCATCTTTTGATTGAAAAATAACATTTATTTCCTACACCTTTATGAATTTATAGATGGAGTTTAAAATTTGTGTCTATTTACCTCTGTCCTTTGCAAGATACTTTTAATGAATCTGGAAAAAAAGGGAAAAAAGACTGGAATCTAAAGCACACAGGCACAGCCCCATTTCTTTGACAATCCTACAAAAGTCAGGATAAGAACACAGCAAAAAAGGGGGAAACTTGTAGAATTGAGGTTTATTCACTGTGGGCTCCAGGAAGTGATTTTCTCTTCAGCCTCAAGATTAACAGCTTCAATTCTTTTCAAAGATATGACAAGGAATTTTAAATATCTGGATCTAGGGGCTGGACATTGGGACTCACGCCTGTGATCCCAGCACTTTGGGAGGTTGAAGTGGGCAGATCACTTCAGGTCAGGAGTTTGAGAACAGCTTGGCCAACATGGTGAAAACCAGTCTCTACTAAAAATACAGAAATTATCCAGGCATGGTAATGAGCACCTGTAATCCCAGCTAATTCCATAGGGTGTGGCTGTAAAAGCTACTCAGGAGGCTGAGGCAAGAGAATTGCTTGAACCTTGGAGATGGAGGTTGCAGTGAGCTGAGATTGCACCATTACACTCCAGCCTGGGCAACAGCATGAGACTGTCTCTAACTAACTAACTGGATCTAAGAACACTAAATCTGAGTGTTTGGCAGCACAAGCCACTTTTTGAACTCAGCCCTTGGCTTTGTGACCCATCCTATGAAGTCCCCACACTCTAACAGAAGGAAAGAAACAACAAAAAGAAAACCCAGCAAAATTGTCTGATGAAGCACTTAAGAGCAGCCCAACATTGACTAAAACACAATAGAGGAGGAGGAAGTTCATGTTACAGTCAATGAAGCTAATCCAAAATTTCCACCCAATTAAAGACAGAGTAACAACTGGGAAGACATATCACAAACCCGATTTACTTTTTGACTGGAAAGGAACAAAGAGTAACAAATGTTTTCATGCCCCTGACAGTGCTCATCCGGTGATTTTGGGACTTAGCTCTTAGACTGTCAAATACACACCCTTTCCACACTCCAGACCCTGCACCGCCCATGAAGCCCTACTTCACCAGGGCTCAACCATCCATAGCTGTCTCCTGGGCAACCGCAAGAACAAACTACATCTTTTTCCTCAAGAAAATGCTGTATTTTGTCAGCACATGACTCTGCATGACAAAGTGACAACAGATGTTAAAACCAATTATTTCCTATAGAAAAAATGATGTAATCTAACTCATATTTTGCATACTTTTGTCTACTCTTGGAGACATTTAAGAAGCCAATACTGTTGAATGTCTAATATAGTTTGTGTGTAATATATCGGTGTAATAAAAATGGAAGCCATTAACAGTAGATGCTAAAAATAAGGAAAAACTGTATTTTAAAGTATCAGTAATATATTATTTTTATAAATATAACAATTTCAATAGGGAATATAAATTGATACACAAGTACATCAGCCAATCTGATCTTTGGAAAATTAAACCTTGAAAAAAATGTATGTTTTATAAGTACTTTGTTAATCCACCTACTGTTCACAAATGATTGTTCCACAGCCAAATGTGACACAGGTAAAATGCAGGATTATGGAGTTTTGAGGCCTTATTTAATTATTAGGAGAAAACTCAGAGTTCCTGCAGTGTGATATCACTCCAAAGAAGTCACCATGCAGGCCCAGAGTTTGTCTAGTTTTGTTAAACTTATCACTGGTTTCCACAGAAAATCTTTGGAAGCCCTGTTATGATATGATTTGTCCAGGAAAACTGAAACCTTAACTGCCTGCCTCCTTCAACACTCAAAACATTTTCCTATGGCTGTCATGCTCCCTTCCAGGAATCATGGAATCTGCTCTTCACGGCACATGAGTGAATGGTGGAAGCTAGCCTACCACCTCCCTGGGGGAAGGGGATTTCCTGTGAGGTCACCCGAGTTGTTACTGACAAGTGGAGGTGCCTCTGTGTGGGGCTGTGGCTGCCTTGAGATCTGTCTTGGCCATGTGGCTACAATAAAAAGTACCATACCTTTGACAGCTAAACAAGACAATAGAAGACAGACCGTGTCCCGAACACCTTCAGGGCAGGGTGTGTGACTCCAAAGCTCACCTTCCAAGTATTAGGACTGTGTGACCCTGAGAGTGGAGTGTGTGTCAAATGTAGATTTGACGGAAAATAATTAGAATTTTAACCAAAATCTACATTCTTAGCCTTTACATCCACACATCACCATCTACTTTTCTGTCACAAACATATTGAATTAACTTCATACGCAGCAGCTTGTTAAAATATAAGACCCAATCAAGATCATTCACAGATCTTATAATTCCAAGTTTCAAGAATAAAACCAACATGTCCAACTGAGCTAAATATATTCTTCATTTCAGCATAAAAAATAGAAGTCATAGATATTGAGAGAGTTAGATTTCAGTGTCTCATCTTACAGACACTGGCTTTAGGCTTCTTATGCCTCATATTAACTTATTGTAGGACAAAATTAGTTCATACTTAAATAAAAATATTTTAATACCCACCTTGTATTGTGGTGTTTTTTTCATCTTATCTGTTTTTGTCACTATAAAAGGATACTGTCAATCTCTCCTTCTTGTGGAGATTAATTGCCTGATTTATACATCAAACGTGCTTAAGTCTGTTTCAATTTTTGTGTGTACAGAGTAGATGTGTGTATTTGTGGGGTACATGGCATGTTTTGATTCAGAAATGCAATGCATAATAATCACCTCAGGTTGAGGGGTATCTCTCCTCTCAAACATTTATCCTTCAAGTAACAAACAATCCGATCACACTGTAAGTTATTTTAAAATTGACAGTTACTGTTGATTATATCCATCCTGCTGTGCAAGCAAATAGGTCTTATTCCTTCTTCTATTTTTTTTAATCCATTAACAATCACCACCTCCTTCCTTCACTCCTACTACCCTACACAGCTTCTGGTAACCATCCTACTCCCTATGTCCATGAGTTTAATTGTTTTGATTTTTAGATCCCACAAATAAGTGATCATGTGATATTTCTCTTTCAGTGCCTACCTTATTTCATTTAACAATGATCTCCAGCTCTAGCCATGTTGGTGCAAATGAGTGAATCTCATCCTTTTTGTGGCTGAAGAGTACTCCATTGTGTTTAAGAACCACATTTTCTTTATCCATTCATCTGTTGATGGACACTGAGGTTGCTTCCAAATCTTACCTAGAGTGTACAGTGCTGCAATTTGAATTTCTTGCTCAGCTTTCTAGGACTATCCTGATTCTCTCTATCCCTGAGATTGAGACTCAGTGCTTTTTCCTCAAGGTAATTTAATGGGACAGGCTATGGAAGAACAAATTTCCGAAAAAATGAATCCTACAGTTGCTACCCAAAAGAATTCTTTTAGGGGAATTTTAGAAATGGCAAATCCAATCCAACAAAACAAAGCAAAACTTTGTTGTCTCAACAAATCAAATCAATGACTGACCAATGTATCAAATTGAAGAACTGGTTCTGAAATTAGGCAGTAGAGAAAAGTAAACTTCCTTTTAAGTAACTGAAATATGATTATTTAGTTTGAGAGAAAAAAAATAAGCTTGTTTTAAAAAGAAAATACATTTTAAGGTATTGCTAACATCCTTGTATGTGAACAACTTACTGTAATCATGACTAGCAAAGTGAGCCACATTTTCTAGTCATGATTATCCGTAAAATCAGAAACATTCACCAAAAGTTAATTACATGAAAAGTTTCCTCTCAAGATTTTTATAACATAGCCGCGTATGTATTTTTGTCATTTATTTCATATTTATATTACAGTTTCTGCAGATATCTTGAGCAGACTATCAGGTTTAAAATGTTTTTATTTCATACTCTATCAGCCTCTGTTCACCAAGCCTTTCCAGATCCCAGAGTCACACAAAGGAGTTCGTAGAGTTTAACCTAATATTTATAAGACCTTTAGCATAGAATAAGATTCTACTATCTTATATACTTGCTTAGGCTGCCAATGAGTTCCATGTTTGTGGTGTGAAGACAGAGATCTTTGAGTTGTCTCTATGGGAACTTCATAGGCCGTGTTTGGTTGATGGGCTTGTCTGTAAAACTGTGCAGGTCTGCCCCTAGTTCACCTGCCTCACTGGTGTAGAATTCAAGTGGTCTCACCTGAGAAGCCGGCTCTCAGGCTTGGACATCAACCTGCTTAAAGTAATTCTCTAAGTGTTTTCCATGTATTTTCTCATAAATGTTGACAGAAACCCAATAAAGTGGTCTGATCTGCATTTAAAAGGGGGCATGGAATACTTCCAAGCCTCTTAGCTATGAAGGAACAGCCAATATTCACACTCAGCTTCTTTGGTTTCCAAGTTCCTGCTGTTTCTAGCACACTACGCTGCACTCAGAAAAGAATTGAGTGTGCTTCCTGATTTAGATATTGCTGACTTCTTAAAAAACTCATAAACATTGAGATCGATCTGCAAGAAACTCCTGAAATAATCTCAACCCAAGCCGTCTTGTTTTTAGAGTGCAGTTCTTTAAGGTTGAAGAGACCTGGGGCTTTCCTGAATGCTCATGGAGGTGGTGTCTGAAGCAGCACCAAATCTCCAGTCTCTGAACTCTGTCCTGCATCACCCCTTTCTCACTGGAGCATGCAGCTTAATTATAAATACAGTTGAAGTTGGTGGATACTTAAACTCTACCCATCCACATGACGCTGAATGTTAACTGGGACATGTGGCAATGGACCAACGCTTGGGTTCCACAGCACCTGGCTGTAGGAAGATGCAGGTGGAAGTCCCACTCCTTTCACATGTTTTACTTTCCATCTCTAAGCTGACGGGAGTGTGGGGAGCCCTGCACAGTCACATTGTGCTGAATCATGCTCCTATTATTTTATACCTACATTATCCCATGGAGTAGTATTTACTTGGAATTCCTGCAGGTAGAGCCACTTATGCAAACTCTTGCGGCCTTCATACTCAGTTGAGATTACCTGCAGTTACCTGCAAATATTTGGTTACAAATGAGTCCAAACCATGTGCCCTGAATCACAAGTGCTTGAAGGATCAAAAGATTTGCTTATTATTCAAGATCTAATTCTCAAAATTGAAAGGTGTATTATCTGAATCTGTATCACGTTCCCTTGAAAGCATTAGATTACCAAAGACCAACGGAGTTTAAGTATGCATAAGTAACAATATATGGTGTAGGATTCCGTAAATGAATTAATGTGAAGTCATGAGCGCTTCATCAGTCCTAGACGTTTGGGGCAAATTTTCATTTCAGAACTGAATAATAAACTATATTCTTTTTAGTAATCTTAGCTGATATAGGTCTTATTGGCGCCATCCTATTTCATCTGTATTATATGGTTCACACTAATCAATCAAATCAATTAATCATCTATATCACCTTGTTACTGCTGTGGTAAAGATTATTTCAATTAAGTAAATGAGCCATTTTATTAAACACATTGCAAATTTCATTTATTTGAAATACTTTATATGAAATATATTGCTTCTATTAAACAAATTAAACAACTACTAAATTGAAAATGACCTTTCACTGCTGCCAAAATTACCTTGGTAATCAATACGTTAAATATAATTATTCAAAATTAAAGAAATTGTGAGATATTACTATACAACTTTGTGGGTTACTAACTTATTTCACGTACGTTTATTACTTAATATTTAATAATGTAATGATTTTCATCTAACTTTTTCCTAACATTCTTATGTTTTCCTACTTTCTTCCGTTTGACGAACAAGCTGAGATAGCTATATACATATATGCATACATTTGAAAATGTATATTTGAAGTATGAGTTTACTATCTGCTGAAAATACATATTTCTTTATTATTAACATACTTACATATTTGTTTTAAGGTAAAGTAAAACAGCACCATAAGGCAAAATGGAAGTTGGTAGGAGTGCGTACTATGAAAATGTGTGCTTATTAAAGGCAGGGTTTAAATTTAGTTAGGTTTTGAAATAAGTAAATAGAGAACATAAATCAGTTTTGTGTTACTAATGGAGAATCCTAAGCCTACAAATAGTGACTTTGAGAAGAGATGTAAATTCAGGGGTGAAAATTAAAGGCACTAATACAGAAGGCAGCTTCGAAAGATAGGATGGTGTAATGAGATCCCAAAAGAGAATCAACTACACAACAGTTAACAAGCTTAATAAGGAGTAATAATATATGTTTACAGTTTCCACACATGAATTAAGATCCTGGCCTGCACACTTCACCAGCCTAGACATGGGGGGTATACACTTAATTTTCCTAAGAGTTAAGAAGCTTAATATATCTAAAATAGCAGTGATCAACAGTTTAAAACACTGTTTTTAACTGTGTTAGGATATTGGAAAAGAGGAACTCATTCTCTTTAAAGTGCAGCTTTGGTGTAAATTTCTTGCTAATTTGGACGTTTCTTTCTAGATTAATAATGTAGAAATCTTTTGATCCAGCAACCTTTTGAAATATGCCCTACCTATATGTGCATGTGCACCTATACATATTGTATATATTTATAAGATGCTCACAGCATTGGTACTATAACCAGAAAAATGGAATCAGCTGGAAAGTCTATTAACTGGGAAGCATGTAAATAAATCATTACATATTTATGCAATTATACAATGAATAAGGAGTCAGAGGATTGCTCTCACTCACACCTATATCTAATTATCCCTTTTCCCCCAGCACAAAATCATTGTTCATCTTGTTACTCACAAAAAAAAATCTCAGCAACTGTTCTCATTTCCCTCTATAATTTCTATGGATATAAAGACATGTACAGATAACATTGCTGACATGCATATCTATATGTAATTTTCAAAGATGCAAAACCAACTTTAGCATTTTCTCTGGAAAGATAGGTAGTACCATGCAATGATAGGGAAGAAAAATTGATTGCATACATTTGTGCTGCTTGAGAATTTTATCACATCAATGTATTATTTTACAAATTAATTAATTCTGGCCGGGTGTGGTGGTTCATGCCTATAATCCCAGCATTTTGGGAGGCCAGTGCGAGCAGATCACCTGAGGTCAGCAGTTCGGGACCAGCCTGGCTAACATGCTCAAACCTCCTCTCTACTGAAAATACAAAAACTTAGCTGGGAGTGGGGGTGAATGCCTATAGTCCCAGCTACTTGGGAGACTGAGGCATGAGAATCACTTGAACCCGGGAGGCGGAGGTTGCAGCGAGCCGAGATCATGCCACTGCACTTCAGCCTAGATGACACAGTGAGACTCTATCTCAAAAAAAAAAAATTAAAAATATTAATGAAAATATATACATCTATTATCATTTTAAAATATAAACTTTTTTCCTAATAATTTGACTCGTTAATCAAAAGGTTTTTTTTTTTTTTTTTTTTTTTAAGAGATAGGGTCTCTGTCACCTAAGCTAGAGTGCAGTGGTACAACCTTGGTTCACTGCAGTCTCAAACTCCTGGGATCAAGCAATCCTCGCACGTCAGCCTCTTGAGTAGCTGGAACTACAGGCCTGAGCACTACACTCAGTTTTTTTTTTTTTTTTTTTTTTGGTGGGGGGAGTAGAGAGGGAGGTCTCACTCTGCCCCCTAGGCTAGTTTTAAACAGCTGGCCCCAAGCAATCCTCCTGTCTGAGCCTCCTAAAGTGCTGTAATCACAGGCATGAGCCAACTCACCCAGCCCCAGAAGTCATCTTTAAGATTACTTTCTTAAAATGAAATCAGTGTTGAATGTTTTATTAGGAGTTAGACATAAGGTATTTTACAGAGAGAGAATGCATTATAAATAACTTTCAATTTTCATGTGCAAAACATAGAAGCACATGAAAGCCTATCTCATCTATGCAAACATTTTATGTTCAATACATTTGATAATGCTGAAGTTCTTCACCACCTAGGTATTTAATTTTATTTCACAGAAAAGTCACATTTTTTTCTAAAATATTTACAGGTATCTTTCAAATACCAATTAAAACGTTTGAGGTACAGGAGATAAATGAAAATTTTTACTTAAATATTGCATTGCAGTCCATTTGACTGACTAATCTTGGGTGTATCACAAGATAAATCAAATAAGGTTCAATCAAACACTGAAGTTTGAGTAATAAAAGCATGAACGAAAATTCCAGAAAGATTTGAGTTATTTTAAAGTATGCTGCTACAATTTTAGGAAATTCCTTTATAAATCTTATCAGCTTCTTACATAACCATTGTACTGAGAAACTCAGGGGCCAAATGTTCCGAAAACCAAATAATAAAAGGTAGACTTGCCCTGAGTCATTTCTATGTCCCCCCGCTTTTTTCTAAGAGGTCTGGAAACCCATTTTGTTTCAAAACTGCTCAGAGTTTGAGTTGTAGAAACACGTGACGAAATGCTTATCTCCTCCCACTCTTATCTCCTGTCCTGATTCAGCAAAAACATCTGAAACACAGCTTCAAATGCAGGCAAAGTGACAATCTCCTGACAAATCTTTATAGCAGACATGATGTCATACACAGTGCAGTGATGGCTGTTTATTAATCTTTAAAATTTTGTTTTTATAACAGTAAAAAAATTATTAAAAGTTAGAAAAGAAATGAACACAAAGTATAAAGTAGAAGTTCTCCTTCCAAACTATCCCATTCCCACACGTTTGCCTAGAGATTTCTACCATTAACAAAGCCTACGTTTCCAGTCCCCACTGTATATATGAACATATAAAGCCCAGTTCTATAAATACATCTACTTACATGCTTATCTACAAGCATATTACATCTGTTATGTATATAAAAGATGTTATTCCTTATGTCTGTTTACCTGAAGAACCTCTCAAACCATATGCAACTAAAGAGATTTTATCTTGTTTCACTTATAGCTCTTCCCCAAATTGGCTAGAAAAACAGAAGCAAGCCCTCTGGATTGCTGGGGATTCCAGAGTACTTTTAAAACTTCATTGACTTTCCCTTATTCAATGTCTCCGAAAAGGTAGTTCCCCGAAATGTGTATTTGTTGATAATACAATCAGTCACTATTTTATGTTTGCATATAATCCAAAGACAGTAATGGTCTGTGATAACTTACAATTTTTAAAATTTGATTTCTAAAACTGAAATATGTAAGTTGCCTTTATTTACATGATTTGAGATGGGACTGTAAATTAATGAGATTGCTTGTTTACAGTGAACAGATGTTTATGTTTATATAAACATAAATGATATTTGTCCCTCAACGTAATGTATCTACAGCACCACAGGTATCTCCAAAATAGTGTCATTGCTTTAACTCTTCCATCTCCCAAAAACACTGTCTACTTTAAAGATTTCGATTGTAATTGTGAATATACAATTATTTGAGAAGAGTCAGAGGTGGTATCTGCCTTTACTTTCTGAATATAAAAGGGCTGTAAAAAGTGGTAGCTGGTATAGCAACAGTATCTTATTCCTCCTTTTAAATGGTAGAATTCTTACAGTGATATATTACTGAGTATACAAGAGGTGTTCAATTTTTATTTGTAATTAATGTGTTTTAAGATGGATAATGTCAAATCATCAGCATCAATCAATCTTCGCCTAAGTTTTGTATTCGCTAGAAAATAAACTTAACTTATTTTAGAGAAAGTCTACCCACAATATGCATACACACTGGTCTTTGAAACAACGGCTTTGATAACAAAGGCAACAAAACACAGTTCCAAGAAAATTGCAACAATCTTTATTCATTATTCAACAACACTGAATTGTATGATGCAATCAAGATTTATCTTTTCATCTTATGTGTTTCTTTATATGCCACATATATTAACACCAGAATACAGTATAGAATTTCACGAATGATATGTCAGCCACGTGTGGCTCAAGACACATGAATAATATGCATTTGCTTAAAATATAAAGAAAACTTCGCATTCAAAGAATGTACTGGAACAGCCATGCCGTTGACGTGCAGTTAAAGAAATAGCATTTATACCATTCAATCCTGCAATTCCCAACAAAATTCTAGCAGCAGTTGGCTAAAGATGATCCAAAATATGAACAGTTTTATCAAACTATAAACACATTCTATCTCTACCAAGTGTGATCTGTGTCATGTCCAGAAAATCCCTTATATGGTGATCACAGTGTTAGTAACGAACTTCTGGGTAACAAAGTTGACATGTGAAAACACTCAGCTATGTTTTCATTTCATCACATCTACAGGAGTCCTCATAAGAAATGCGTACATATACATGCATATATTCGTGTGTGATATAATTACCTGTGATATGAGGTGAAAATGTACAAACGGAGTAAGAATGGTGACATGTTAAGGAAGGAAAACACACACTATCTTTGAGAAGAGTAAGATAGAGGTGGCCTGGCACAGTAGCTCATGCCTGTAACCCCAGCACTTTGGGAGGTCGAGGCAGGTCGATCACTTCAGGTCAGAAATTTGAGACCACTCTGGCCAACATGGCAAAACCCTGTGCCTACTAAAAATATAAAAACTAGCCAGGCATGGTGGCACAGACCTGTGATCCCAACTACTCGGGAGGCTGAGGCAGGAGAATTGCTTGAACCTGGGCTGGGAGGTGGACGTTGCAGTGAACTGAGATCTCGCGACTTCACTCAAGCCTGGGCTACAGAGTGAGACTCCATCTCAAAAAAAAAAAAAAAAAAAAAAAAAAAAAAGCAGAGGTTCTTGGAGTAGGTCATGCTGAATGTGGTGCTCAAAAATGGACAACTTTTAGATCAACAGCATGTGAGAAAACCACCTGAGGAAGACATAAGCAGTCGCATTCAATTAGGATATATTTTGACAGACAAGTTTTTTTAGCCACGGAGAACAATAATGTCCATCTTTTAGGGGTTTTCTAAGAATTAAAGCAGCTCCAGAACATGAAATGCTGAGCATTCTGCACAAGGGATAGATGCCATCTGTAAACATGGTTATTATCATTCAGGGCATGATTGTAATTGTGATGACATGTTGAAAACATCAAAAAGCAGGGTCACTCTAAGCACAGGTGCATGAAGGAAAATAATGAGGTAAAATGATATGAATATGTCTACCTAATTTTCCCTGATTTGACTAAGAACATATTATTCCAGATAATCAGATGCTTGTGACCTCAGCCACAAGCCTTCAGGTGCAAATGACAACCCAGAGGACTCCTGCTGCAGCCAAGGTAATTGATTGTTCAGACTCTGACCTTGTCCAGGTCTTACATATTTGCTCCCTTCTTCATTTACATAAAATAACTGGGAAATCTCCACTGTGTTAAAGAAATGTTATTTCCCTTCTCTTGCATTTGATTTTCAGGTGTTAAAATGAAAACCTATACCCATATTGAAATCACTGCACATTTATGCACTCATACAAAACTACATGTTTAACATGTTACTTCTCTGAACAACAAAAAAAGTATGACTGGATAGTAGATACAGTGCTGTTTTAAGATTGGGTGATGGCACTAGAAGAATCTGACACCTTTTTTTTAATGTGCAGAATCCTGGTTAAGACTACTTTCTTCATTGTTTGACCATTATTTTTCTCTTGTTCTCTTTCTAGCCATATGTTCTCTGTCATTACCTATGACATTCCGTTAGTTATATCTGCCTCATTAAATCAACCATTTTCTGTATACTTCAGAAGTGTATGAAGTCTTTTCCTTAATATCTCATTTGAGGAGCTCAACAAATTCTATGCTTTTGGATTATTCTAATACTATTTCTTACTGTACCAAATCGTCTTTCAAAATTTATACCCTCCAGTGAGTCACTTAAGAAAGTCAAAGTCTTTGCTTTCATAAAGCCAATTTTATACTTCATTGGTTTTGTTTTCATTTGGGTAGCTTGTGTGATAAAAATGGCTTCAATGAATTGAAATAATACGCTGGTGTTTAAGAAAGAACTGTGTGTTCAGAGTCGAACTGGGCCAGGCATGTGTTCCTAGGAAAGTAAGGTTATTGAAGCCACTAGAGAACATTACATTGTCACTTTCCCACAACTTGGAAGGAATTTCTATTTGGGGGCGTAACGTTGCATTAAGTATCCAATAATAGACGGTCCTGAGAATCTACACTAAGAAATCACAGAAATGTGTCAGAAATAGATGATTAACGAGAATGTTTAAATTGCCTACTTAGTAATTAACATCTTCAATGCAGAAGTGTTCTCCCGCTGGAGAAGGGCACAAGAGGAGAGAGCACGGATGCAGGGACGTGACCTGGGCCTTTCAGCTGGTCAGAGAAAAAGTATTTCGGTGTTGAGGTAGACGAAAGGATAGCAACAATGTCAGTGCCTCTTCCCTGGCAGCACCCTGACTCTGTGCCAACTCTTAGGAACTTGACACAGCCCAAGAAGAGGAGACGAGGCTGTTTCATAGGCGGAAGGGCTCCGTGTTCACTGTAGACAGCAAGTTGTGATTTTGTTGTTACATTCGTTACATACGTGAGTTTTGAACTGAAACCCATACTTCATAAATGACGCATCAAAGAAACAAAAGACATTTTGTTTTTTCCACAATCATCTATTTCTAGGATACCTTTGGGACAGAAGATCACTTGAAGAGTGGACCCAGCTGGGAGTGGTGGCTCATGCCCGTAATCCTGCTTCTTTGGGAGCCCAGCATGGGTGGATCGCTTGAGCCCAGGAGTTTGAAACCAGCCTGGGCAACATGGCAGAACCCCAACTCCATAAAAACAAACAAAAGTAGCCATGGGTGGTGGTGCACACCTGTAGTCCCCGCTACTCAGGTGGCTGAGGTGGGACGATCACCGAACTTGGGAGACTGAGGCTGCAGGGATCTGTGATCAGGCCACTGCACTCCAGCCTGGGCAGCAGAATGAGACCCCGGTTCTGCTTTGTTTTGTTTTGTTGTGGGGAAGATGGAGTCTCATTCTGTCACCCAGGCTGCAGTGCAGCAGCGCGATCTCAGCTCACTGCAAACTCTGCCTCCTAGATTTGAGCCATTCTCTGTCTCAGTCTCCTGAGTAGCTGCGATTACTCGTGCCCACCACCATGCCTGAGTTGTGTGTGTGTGTGTCTGTGTGTGTGTGTGTGTGTGTCTGTGTGTGTGTGTGTGTGTGTGTGTGTGTGTGTGTGTGTGTATTTTTAGTAGAGCCAAGTTTTCTCCATCTTGGCCAGACTGGTCTTGAACTCCTGACCTTGTGATCCACCCGCCTTGGCCTCCCAATGTTCTGGGATTACAGGCGTGAGCCATTGCGCCTGGCAGAGACCGTGTTTATTTAAAAAAAAAAAAAACATTGGCCCTACAAAAACAGCAGGAGATGACTGGGTGGAGTGGTAAGAAACTGTTGCATGGAAGGGATTGTGGAGTTAACAAAAAGGATCATCAGCCTGTGTCAGGTCTGCGAGCCTAGCCTCAGTTATGACAGCGTCTCTTTGGGAAAAGGTACTTACTTAAATGTACATTTGCAAATAGAATGTTAAAGACAAACAACATTTTAATAAATTATTGATCCCATGTTATTTCCCAATTATTATGGATAAGGGAAAACAAATATACATGACAAAGTTCTTGCCTGATGGATGCTTACGTTATAGCAGGTTAGATACAACTAAAGCAAATCAAAGTCTGAGGCAGACCGTGATCATTATTATTACAATGAATTATCAGAATGTGGTCATTCAAAATGCTATACAAGTTAAGAGGAAATAGAAATCCCTTTCAGCTCCTTGAATGATTGGGAAAGGAAGCCTGAAGTGGATGGCATTTGTCTGGACCCAGAGGAAGGAGTAGAATTTATATTATTCATAGACAGTAAACAAAATCTTTAAATCTAAGATGTGAATGTTCTTTGGAGAGGCTCTAATCCAAATCCCTCACTCTACAGATAACAGAGTAACACTACAAATACCAATGCTCTGTCAACAGAAAACGCTTTCATGTAATACTTCCCACTTGACTAAGCTTGTTCAAAGTCGACAGGTTTACGGAAAAGGAAGGAATGGTTTCCACACTCTCCTGTGACCTCTTGTTTTAGAAAGTGCACTCATAGTTAATAAAACCAAAATTAAGTCTCCAAATTAAGATTTAAGACTCTTTTGCAGTTATGTATCAAGTGTTATAAAAGGAGAAGAAAATAAACGAACACAACTAAGAAGTCACAACGTTTCAAAGATTTAAGTGATAAACTTAAAAAAGTGTAAGTAGAGGAGGCTCGACGAATGTACAATTTTATTGTTCGATTACTCATCTTTCGGAAATGACGACAATTACCACACTCACCATATTTTTTAAAAGACAATGCTAATAGTACCAAAAAGCCTCTTGGAAATTTTTGCCAGGGGCAGGTGGTAAAACTAAAAAACTAAAGTGGTTCCGCATGAGGTTTCCTGGAATATCACCCCTAAGCTTAGCTGTCCAGTGGAAATTCTGTTCCCTTCTCTATGTTCTTGATCTCTTCCTAGTTCTCACTTTTACCAATGTGTATCGCTCGTATCACCTCAAGGTGAACATGTAACCATAATGTCTATTTTTAAAAGTTTTTTAACACTGAAAATATTTTTCATCTTTATTCAGGTGAAGGAATCAAAAGCCCATTTAGCAAAGCATTTCCAAATATAGTTATAACACAAAAAAGGGTACATTTTGTTTGCCGATCTAGGAGGATTTTTAATTTAAAAAGCCTTCTGCACTAACTCAATTAACAGGGAATAAAACACGCCAGTTGTCCAACTCCTACTTTCAGTAACCCTGTGTGCCCTGATGCAGATTGGAAGACATTTTCACTGTGGAGCTATTTTCCCTTAAATACTTTCCCAGACAACAGCAGAAAGGAAGCTCAGTCATTTTAAGTTCAGATTAGTACATAAGTTTACATAAATCATGGGAACATCCTTTGAAATCTAACATTTTTCCTTCCTGTATTGTGCAATTTTAAAGTCTTAGTATCAATTAATAAATGTAATGGTGGGAAAATATAATTTATTCACCAACATATGTCAACATCTGACTTTCTTCTCAGTAGGAAAGGTCATATATCTTTTTTGGCATTGCCCATTTCATCTTAATTTCACTTTTGAATTTTTCTGAATGACATAATGACAACCATATTTAAGGCTTTAAATGATGTCATCTGCAGAAGGAGACAGAAACCTAATTCTGGGACAGGGTAAAAGGTAATTTCTCTATCTTCTTTCTGATGTGTATCCAATTCTCTTATTCACCAAGTAAACACACACATGCACACATATTTCATCTATTAAGTTCAAAATTTCCAGATAAATTACCAGTGTACCTGTTTCTCTTCTGGATCCTAAGGTACAAATGGATAGTAGTCAGTATTATTTATTACTTGTGTGCGTTCAGCCTAATTTATGGTTCTTGAGTAAAAGGCCCACAGAAGGATGCTATAAACCTCTTTCTAAGGAGATTGAATAGCTTAAGAGATTTGCAAAAATAAAACAAGCTAATGAAGTCTAACCAGACTTTGCAAATATTTAGCAATATAGATCACTCAAAAGCAAGTACATTCTTCTACAATACAGTTTTACTTCTATTTTCTCAGAATAATTACACTGTCTATGCTTATTCACACTCAGGTTGTAACTATTGAAAGGAAACTCAGAAATGTTTTACCAGGAGCAGATGAAAAGACTCAAATGAGCATCTGTCTTCATTGGTTTTAAGCCTCCCCCTCTCTTTTTTTCCAGAATGATTCTGGTGTATAACATAAGAGATACTGTGGCTATGTTTAGAATAGCCGTGTAGAAGTTCATATTTTTCCCCAATTTTTGTTGATAATTCAGTTATTAAAACCATCATCCTTCAGTGTAATATGAAGTTACTTGTCATTTTTTGTCTTTAGGCTGTGTCTGTGAGTCACAGGAAGTTGGATCCCAATGGACTCATCTAATTATTTAGCCATTCCCATAATAGAGATAATCAATATTCACTGCTGTAGCCAGAATACATCTTGGAGCAATCCACATAGATCATGAACATAATCAGCCTGAGAGGAATGGGATGGGAAGAGAGGGAGAGAGAGGGAGTATGGGGAAGAAATGCCAGAATAGGGTCGGGTGTAGAAAGAGAAACAATGGTGGCAAGCAGTTGGGAGCAGCTATGTTTGGGCATTTTTACATAACAGAGCCCTGCAAGCTTCCCCTCCTACGTTCCCTATCTCAGTAAATGACTTCATCCTCACCCAGTTTCTTTACTTAGCAATCTCAACCTCCATAACATATGTATAAAACCTGGGCACCATGCCCAATACACAGAAGATGCTCAATTTTGCTCTTTTTCTTGTTTTTCCACATTCTGCCTTTCACTGGCCCTGTCCTAGCCATCTCTCCTGCTATGGCCTGGGTGTCCTGTCCTTGATGACTGGGTTCCACTTTTCTCCCGGACCAAGGACTTCCTCGTCCTGTCTCACTTCTGCTCAATTTATCCTGTACACCAGCACTTCTTTGTCCATTGTTTTCCAAATTACAACCCCAAAATGGTTGATATACGTAGAGTAAAACCGAACTGGGCAACAATTGAAGTTACAGAGTACCTATATGTGAGGGAGACTAAGATGAAAGCAAAGAGACAGTGTCTGATCTTCAGGAGCACACAACATGGGAGAAAGCTGTGCACTGTTTGCTGCAACTCAGAGTATTTTTTCTTTGTTTTTTTAAAGATATTTAGTAGCCGGGTGTGGTGGCTCACACCTGTAATCCCAGCACTTTGGAAGGCTGAGGCAGGCGGATCAGCAGGTCAAGAAATGGAGACCATCTTGGCCAACAGGGTGAAACCTCATCTCTACTGAAAATACAAAATTGACAAAAATTATCTGCGTGTGGTGGTGCGGGCCTGTAGTGCCAGCTACTTGGGAGGCTGAGGCACGGGATTCACTTGAACCCGGGAGGCAGAGGTTGCAGCCCAGATCGCACCACTGCACTCCAGCCTGGTAACAGAGTGACACTCAGTCTCCAAAGAAAAAAAAATTTGGTACTTTGATGCAGTATCCACTGTCTTGCACTGTATCCAATGTATAACACATCACAGAGTTTTAATAAATGTCAAACATTTAACAGAATAGCAACAAAACAGCGGTCTCTTCACAAATTGAAAGCAAGTATTGTATTTTCATTTTGCTTTCATTTACGAGAGGCATAAACATACTGCACTTGTGAGTAAGGGTGGTGGATGTGAGAGGAACAATTGTTAATATTCTTCCAACCAGATTGCGCTAATATAAAAATTAAAATTAAATCATGGAGAGGAAAGGGCCAATAAAAGAACCCATACAACTAAGATCTACAGTAACGTATTATATTTGGGTACTGAATTGACAGCTAAGCTTTCTGTTGACCAACGTGGGGAAAAAAAAAATGGAATTTAGTGAATTCTGCACTGCTCATTCAATAAGTCAGTCAAGCACTTTGGGAGGCCAAGGCAGGAGGATTACTCCTGAGTTCAAGAGATCCAGACTAGCCTGGGCAACACAGTAAGACCCTGTCTCTATCAAAATAATATAAAAATAACCAAGTGTGATGAGGCATGTGCCTGTAGTCTCAACTACTTGGGAGGCTAAGGAGGGAAGATGGCTTGAGCCCAGGAGGTCCAGGCGGCAGTGATCCAACCAATCATGACTCCATCAATCAACCACTGCACCACTCCAGCCTGGGCAACAAAGCAAGACCCTGACTCAAAATAATAAGGCAATCACAAGTGTTTATGGAAGATAATTATTGAACATGTGCTATGATCAGTGTTTTCCACACTGAAAAAGTGGTCAGAAAAGCTTATCACTCTCATCAAGTCCCACTCTCCTAAAGCTTACCCATAGAGAAATATTAAACAAGTTTTCTTATCACAAAAATTCCAGAGACAGTGACTCTGGAAAGGTAAAGGGTGAGCGATAGAGTGAAGACAAAGAAAGCCTTAAAAAGAAGACCATTTTAGAGGTTATATTCAAGAAGGAATCTACTAGAAGGTAATGTTAGGATACATTCCTTAGTCAATTGAGTTCACTGATGACCATGAAATATCAGTTCTTCCAGGCAAAGCTTTTTAAAATTAAAACAAATTACAACAACAAGGCATCGAATGATACAGATAGAACCATCAGTAGTATTTGAGCAGGATCCACAATGCCATCTTAAAGGATGGGCTCTTACCACAGTGAGTTTTGTTTACGTAATTCACTCATTTATGCTTTCCCTTTCAAACCTCATGTGTTCTCTTTTTTCTTCCACACTAAAATGATACCTGCCCAGAGATGTAAAATTTAATGTATATTATTATATATAATATATAAATATATATAATTTGATATACATATAGTTTGATATATATATAATGAAATATTATCTTTAGGCAGCCTGCCTTCTCACCAGAGGGGTGGAAGAGGAAGATTAGGGGCCAGAATGATCTCCTCTGCTTTCTTTAGAAATTTAGGGCAGTGTGATGCTTCCAGAGGTCTGTACAAACACCAGCTTTCATTGTGCTTGGGAGTTTCCATGCCTCTTCCTTCTCTTCGCTTAGTGCACGTTTCTGCTTTTTATCAGTTTGACTGCCTGAGACTGATTCCAACAACCCAAACTGAACGCCTCAGCTCCTCCTTGTCAAAGGAGGATGACTTGTCTTAACAACTATTTAGGTGAATTATTTCTACAGTTTTTGAAAGCAATGGCTCTAAACAAATTCCACTGGGGTGACAAGTACAATACAAAGGCGTAGCCTCGAGGGCTTGGGGTTCAGAGGTTCATGTTCTTACACGGTGATTCTTGACAAATAAGGCATTAATCCTGTCAGGCATTACCCACTCATATTTGAGCAAACCATGACCTGCTAACTACAGCTTTAATTTTAGTTCATTAACTCAACAATTATAAAAATAATTCACTTTTTCCAATCATTTTTATCAAGAATATTAAACATCAGAAAACCGGTAACGAAAAAGATAATAGTTTTTATGTGAAGTGCACAATGAAAAATTCTTGAGTGAAACGTAACATTGCATATTTTCTCCAGAAATAAAGTCTAAATCCTGATACTCTCAATTACATTTAAATCAACACGGACACAGACACAGGTTATTCATCTTTCAACATATCATCCAATAACACAAATCCAATAAAGTTTATTGGATTAATAACAAAAATCCCCCAGTCCTCAATATCAGGTGAAAAAAACTAAAGGCAAAATGAGAAGGTGATATAGGAAGGCCGACTGTGAAACAAATTCAGTAGAGAAGCAACGATGGGCACAGTGGTAACAGCCTTTTTATTTTAGTTAAATAGCGTTGATTTTTCAATTTAAGCTTTTGTTTCTGGAGTTGCAGAGACTGTTTCCCACAGTCCTCTGAAGAATACAATTTAAGGGACAACTTAGATTTTCAAGCATGTTGTGCTAGGACCATGAATGGTGATAAGCTCTCCTGGGGCTATAGACAGGGAGCCAATGATTCGGAATTCCTTGGACACATGTGTCACCAATTTGAGGCAAATATGGCACAAGCCCGTTCCCCCCTCCATCCCAACACACAGACACACCCACACAGACACACACAGAGACACACACACACACACACACACACACACTGAACCTCCTAGCTGTACCTAATGTAACCAAAACATGAATTTACACTCCCACTGGCAATCAACTGTCCCCAAGAATTCAGACTCCCACTGGGAACCAACTGCCCCAGTCTGCTGGGATTGGGGGTCTCCTGGGCACAGAACTTGGTGCTGAAGTCAGGAGATTCCCAGAAGACACTGGACAGTTAGTCACCCGTGTGTTGGTGCAGCAGCAAGAACGGTGATGCGAAGTCTGGCTGAATTCAAAGCCATGCATCCTTCAGGCCTTCTTGCATCAGATTCCTGCAGAGAACACAGCCGACAGAATAACTTGGGCCACATGACTGGCTTATATCGCTTGAACAATTGAACTGCTGTGAATCGACAGCACAGTGCTGAGAAATGTATAGAACTGGCATGTGTATCTCTAGCCCCCGACACCTGCAGGTCCCGCAGTCTACAGACCATGCCTGCTTGGGTATGCACAGGCATCACAGCGGGCTTAACCATCCCCAAACGTAATTCCGGGTCCCCATTTGAGCGAACGCCTCAGCTTTCACCCAGGTTCCCGAACAAGATTGCGCAATTCGTTTCTTTTTTTTTTTTTTTTTTTTTTTTTGAGACAGAGTCTCACTCTGTCACCCACGCTGGAGTGCACTGGCGCGACCTCGGCTCACTGCCAGCTCCGCCTCCCAGGTTCACAGCATTCTCCTGCCTCAGCCTCCCGAGTAGCTGGGACTACAGGCGCCCGCCACCGCGCCCGGCTAATTTTTTGTATTTTTTAGTAGAGACGGGGTTTCACCGTGTTAGCCGGGATGGTCTCGATCTCCTGACCTCGTGATCCGCCCGCCTCGGCCTCCCTAAGTGCTGGGATTACAGGCGTGAGCCACTGTGCCCAGCCTGCAATTCATTCTTGATTCCTCCTACTCTGTGAGCAGATTCAGCCTATTATCAGTTCCTACCCCATTCTGCATTAAAACTCCGTGTCTCCTTATCCACCCCCAACACCGCCACCCTCCTTACAGTGCTTACCGCCTCTCACTGCCTAACTGGACTCCTGACTTCGGTGGACACCAGACGCAGCCTCTTCTTCCGCATCCTTGTCAGTAGACATGCAGCTTCATCTTACTTTTCTTCTCCCAACACATACCTCTTGATTTTCAAAATTTGGCTCTGGTATACCTCTAGGAGATCTTCTTTGGATACCCTACCCTAGTCTGGCTACACCGCCGTTTGAGTATAAACTCTTCAAGTATTTTGTTCCCCTAGTCACATATACAATCCTTGGAAGCAAAGAAAAAGTGTGGTTTCTGATTTCTAATACAGAGCACCTTTGCACAGAGTAGACCCAATGCAGCACTGATTTAGGGCTGGCTGGGGAAGGAGGGCATAGCAGAAGGAAGCTGATAAAGAGACTAAGGCTTCAGTGCAGCCTTCCAGGTCCTATTATCTTAGCATGTTCTCTACATAGCAGCTAATCAACCTGAAACTTTCGGTAAGTAAATGGATAAAACTATACTCGTTTAGAAAGGAAGAATGTCTGAAATAGCCATTCTAAAGGCACTTAAGCTACAACTAGAAGTGAAAATTATCTCAACCATAAGAAGAGCAAAGGTTTTTTTCCACAGTTTAGTTTTAAAGAAACTTAATCTAAATGGCGTCCTGTGATACACCTACAGAAACTGAAGTCTTACAAACACATCTCACTCCAGACTCATGACGCTTCTGTACGTTGTTTCTTCATGGACCTGGGATGGCAGAGTTAGGAGAAGGGCTCCTGTGTGTTGCTATCCCAGTGTGTCAGTCCGCTGTCATCAACACAATATCACCATGTTTAGGCTGGGAAACTTCGTGCTATACAGGAATTTTTTCTTAAGGTCTGACACGTAATAAAGGATGACGGATATCAAAGAGGATTTGGACAACAGCCAAAAGGAAAATGGTATTTCAGAATTAAAGATGCAACAAAAGCTATGACTCTCTTTATCTTACTCTGAAATACTTCTCTAAAATATTTGTTGGCCTTTTCCCCAGGTTAAAAAAAATAGGAGAAGGAGAACTTCATGATGGATTCTTGCATCCATTAGCAAAGAAGATGATCACAAATCCATGTAACAAGCAAACTAAGTGACACCCAGAAGCTGGAAAACTGGTCATCAACTCAGTACATTTTATACACAGCTGTCATGTGTATCATTAGAAGGCAAATGATGGAGAAATGATACAAGCACACAGCCACCTTGCTTGACAGCACATCTAAGAATAGAGGAAGCTGGTTTCCATTTGTCTCTGCAGCTGGACCAGAAACACATCATGGGCCTCACTTTATAGAATATGACCTCCTGCTTGTGAGATCAAATTGACAAATTGTGAATTTTTAAATCATCTTATTTTCTCTTTCAGGAGGAAAAACATAAAACGCAATTGAGGCCAGATACAGTGGCTCACCCCTGTAATCTCAGCACTTTGGGAGGCCGAAGCGGGTCGATCACCTGAGGTCAGGAGTTCAAGACCAGCCTGGCCAACATGGTGAAACCCCGTCTCTACTAAAAATACAAAAATTCGCTGGATGTGGTGGCATGTGCCTGGAATCCCAGCTACTCAGGAGGCTGAGGCAAGATAACTGCTTGAACCTGGGAGACAGGTTGCAGTGAGCCAAGATCATGCCACTGCAATCCAGCCTGGGTGACAAAGTGAGACTCCAACTCCAAAAAAAAAAAAAAAAAAAAAAAAAAAAAAAAAATGCAGTTAAGATATTAGAAGACAAACAATAAATTGCTTATCTTCTCCTTAACACAGTCCATTCTCCTCTTCAAGTTCTTCAATACTATCATTGACCAAAAAAAAAAAAAAAAAAAAAAATGTGAAAGTACGTACTGCACACTTAAAATAAGAAGGACATTATGCCAAATGCTGAGAGGGTTAACAGAGAGTGGTCCCTGTCTTTTGGAAAAAGCATGACACAAACTTTATTACAGGTTTTTAAAGCTTGGGCCAATTGGTTCAGAAAATATGCTTTAAAATACAAAGTATGTAACAGAAAAGATGTTAAGTGAGATCTAAAAGCTGAAGACAATTTGTAATAAAGACAGCAGTAATAAAAAAATTAGTCATAGAGCAGGAACATGTTGGTAAAAATACTGTATCTGTCACTAATCAAATAGCTAGGTATCAAAGACAAGATATCGACTTCTTAGAAAAAAAGTATTTTTAATTGCTGTTAAGAGTATTCTTAACGAAAATCACCAACAGACAGGGAATAGTCTTTGGAAAATTGTAGGTTCTAAGTAAATGTTTATAGTGTTGGCACTTCAGTAGTGACACCACTTTGGGTAGAACTGAAAACAGCCCTGTCTTCTCACAAACACGGCTGTAGGGATAGAAGAGTAGAGGCAATATTAAACATATTTAATCATCAGTATGGCAGAGAGACCCTCCAACCAATCATCTGATCTGATGGATGCTGGCTCTGGTGGAAGAAACAGGCATGTGGACCCCCTGCTGCATCAGTCCTTACTGTCTAGTTGCTAGATCCTAGGGAGAAGACCCATCTGACAACCTACGAGGTAAGCTGAAGAAGCTACCTGTGAAGGCTGAGCCAGTGGGTACCTGCAGGACCCATCCTGACCAAGCCTGGCCCTGGGCACTGGCTTCAAAGGGAGAACACACCCGTATTTGAAGCCAGTTTCCACCCACCAACTGTTTATCCTGAGCATGGCAATTCCTCTGATTTACAAGAGATTTTGATGAGTGTGGTTTTTTTTTAAAAAAAAAAAAAACAACAAGAAAAGAAAATCAATGTTAATCGCTGATTCCTGGAGCATCTCAGAGAATTAAGCCCCATACCAGGTGTGTCTGGCACAGAGAAAAATAATATGACTATCGATGTGTTTCTTACTGTGAAAGAGTTATTCCTATACCTTTTGATACCATGATTTGGGTTTTACGGACCTAGATGTGAAATGTGTCCTGTTAAACACATGTGGAGGGAAGGGGGGAACTCATCTTTCCCATTCTCAACCAAGTGGTTTTACCTGTTTGCCCATCTTACTTACATATATCATTTGAATTGCATCTTTCTAAGACTACTTTTGAATTTGTAGAGTGCTTGGGACACCGGAGAGGGGTTTGCGGAGGAAGAAGTGATTGGGGCTTCCCGAGGTCTGGAACAGGAAGGGAATGTTTACTAAACTCAGGGGAGTGACAGGGAAAAAACAAACATAATGCATTGAAAAGTCTTGCTTATTGGAAAAGATTACCTGTAGTTTTCTATAAGAAATGATCATCTGGACATACCCATGTAATTAAGAAAATTTCAATTTTATACTAGATGGGCCTGTTAATTTATTGTCTCTGAGCTTCAAATGCACCCTACATTGCTACTTAATCATAATGGAGCCAATCATCATAAATATTTATTTTCAAATAGCATGATGTTAAGCTCAGACAATGAAGAGCACTAGAGGTTCACATGGGAGAGGCAGCTTCCCTTCCCGGTCCTTCATGTGCTCCTCTGTATGGGATCCAGCAGCATAGGACACCTCTTCACTGGCTGCTTCTCCCAAGTCCCTCTTAGCTGGCTTCTCACCACCTCAGCACCCTTGCAGACAGCTTTGCAGTGACTTCCGAGGCTTGGCACCTCCCCTGGGACAGCTTGATGCAGCACCGTAGTGAACGTCTCCATTTTCCCATACACCATGGGGCAGAGTCTATGTATGTCAACCCAGGCAGAAAAACCCAGATGTACTTCTTTGGTTGGTGGCACTTCCCCTGAGAGGTAGTGACTTCTCCCTATATCCGGTATTCCTCTATTCTTTAAAATTCCTTTTACCCCTGAGGTACACAATCCTTCATGTTTTTAACTCCTTATATACTTAATATTTCTTTACATGAAACTTTCTGTGTTTAAATTACTTTATGGTTTTGCTGTCTTGAGTGGATGCTGATTAATATACTAAATATCAAAATGATACTAATCACCTTGTAAAGAAATATGGAACTTATAATGATCGGTCACACTTAAATGGTTGCAGAGTAACCACAAAAAATGACACTCAATGAGAAATATCTTTCTCCCTCTTTTTTTTTGTGTGCGCACAAGGGATCGATTAGCTGAAAGTTATATCAGTAATCATAATAATGAAATTAATTTATAAACCTAAAGTTATTACAAGTTTATGGGGATTATTGGCAGTGATTTTTATCAGTTGGTTTCTAAAACAGTCTGAAGTTAAAGTTATGTGTAACTACTATTGCTAAGCATGCATATTATGAGAAATAGATGAAAATTCTGTATAGTGTGAAAGAGGTATGTATTTTCTTAATGTTAACTGTTACTCTTTGAAAGACATTGTAACAGTAAATACAAGGAAAAAAAAGAAAAATCATCACCCACACCTCAGCAGCAAAATCAATGAGAATGTATTTTGTATTCTCAAAGGTCCTTGTCTGAAACTAACCAAAACTGCAGCAAAATAATTAGATTATTTCTTTATTAGTGGGAAAAATATTCTCCTTTTGTTACTTACAAAAACATTTTATGCATTGAATAAGATAACGGTTAGGAATATTTAATTTTTTTTAACAACTTTTCAATTAGATCCAAAGACCCACTTTCAGAACTGAGGCAAGCGTAGCACTGAATACTCATTCCACAGTGAAACAAGCACAATGGGTGGAGAATGTATTAAAAATATTTAAGTTTCTGGAAGTGCATTAAGCTTGTAAACCAACGAGGAAACATCTAACCAAGAACATCTCAGTGAGGATTCACGTTTGTGCAGCTTGGGCCACAGCCTGCTTTCTTCCCCTTATCTCCAATCTAGGTGAGTATGGCCAGGAAAACTAGATTCTCTCTACCTGCAGATTCCAGCCAGGGTACGCTTCTAACCAGGAGGGTCAGGCCACCATCCTTTCTCATCCTCACAAGCTTCATAGGCAAAGGATAAACTGCAGATGAGTTTGGCCAACAGGCCATGTCGCTTTCAAGTTCCACCTATGTAGGAGGTATGGGAGGCTCAACTCCAGAATAAAAGGTCAAAATGCTGCAGTTCCTGTCACTTGTGCACCAGATGGCATATAAGGTGAAGGTTCTATGCCACCAGGAGCAAACCAAGACAATCAAGCTCTCACCTCAGACCCGTGGTTTACTCATGAAACAAGAATGTCAGTCCAGCAGAAGCTGAGAGTGTCTCTGCCCCACGTCTGAAGCAGTGGCTCAGAGATTTTTCCCAAGAGGAGAGATAGAGGGCAGGAAATTCAAATCCAAGGTTGCTCTCAAAAATAAATGGAAATTGTGAGGATAAGCAATTTAGAGGAGCCTGGTGCTTTCACTAGAGCTGCAGGCTAATCCATGGAATGGCTAGTCTAAGATAATAAGAGACAGAGAAGAAGATCGCATTGTGGGTTAGAACAAACCTCAAAGCCTGGCCTCAAAAATATCTCCTGCAAAGAAGTGTGGACATAAGAATATGGAGCCCAGAGCAAGTTCAGAAATAATGAAGCAATCAGGTGGAAATTTATTAGTGATTCAGCCTCTAGCCTCCAGAACTATGAGAAAATTAATTTTTGCTGTTTAAAACCATACAATTTGTGGTACTTTGTGTCACTGGGCCTAGATAACTAAAGCATGCCCCTACCAGAGCCTCAAAATATATAAAACAGAACCTGACAAAATTGCATGCCAAATAAACAATCAAACAATAATGACTGTTCTACTCATTTTCATAGAGGAACAGAACAATCTAGCCAAAATGACCATCAGACTAGACAACCAAAATAGTACTATAAACCAACTGGAATGAACAGACATCTACAGAACATTCCAGCCAATAACAGAATATTGTTTTCAAGGGCGTATGAAACATTCTCCACAACAGAGCATATGCCATGCCACAGAACTACTTTCAGTTTATTTAAAATGAGTGAAATTATATAAATAAATTATCTGAGCTCAATGCAAGAAAATTAGAATTTGAGAAATAATAGAATACGTGGAAGTTAAAAAAATTTCTAAAAACCCAAAGGAGTTAAAGAAATCACTAGGGAAATTTAAAAATAATATGAACGAAAATGGAGATCAAATACATCAAAATGTATGAAATGCAACTGAAGAATTGCATAGAGGGAAATTTAGAGTAGTAAATAACTATATTTAAAAAGAAAAAATCTTACATAAATAGCCTCACCTTCCACCTCACTGTCCTGGAAAAAGTACAAGCTAAACTTACGGTAAGCAGAATAACAAATATTCTAGTGAGAATAATCAAGTATACAATAGAAAAAAATGAACGTAAGCAAATTCAAAGAAATTTTTAAACCTTCTACAAAATTAAGAATCTTTTGCTAGACTGTTCAAGAAATAAAGAAGTCTCAAATTACTAAAATGGGGGAAAAAAAGGTAGAGAATATTACTATGGACCTTACAGATATTTAAGAAGAAGACTGTAAGAGAATTTTATAAACATCTGGTAGTCAACAAACTGGATGACTACAAAAATACAAATTACCCAAAACTTAAGTCAAACAACATCAGAATAGACCTCAAGTAAAGGTAGTAATTTTAAAATTATGCTAAAGAAAATTCCAGGCTCAAATGGCTTCACTGGTGAATTCTACCAAACATTGAGAGTAGAATTATTGTCAGTCTTTAATAAATTCTTTCCAAAAATAGAAGAGGGATCACATTCCAACTTATTTTATAAGGTCAATACCCCAATATCAAAGCCAGACATAGTTATAGATAGAAACTACAGACTAGTATTTCTTAAGAATATGAACACAAAAATGCTCAAAACAAATCAAGAAATTCAGATCCAACAACATATAAAGCATTATATACTGTGTCCAAGTGCTATTTATCTCAGGAATGCAAGATAGGCTTAGCATCTGAAAATCTAACACTGTGCCATAACAATAAAATAAAGTCAGCTGATTGTCTTACCAGATAAAAAGTGACAAAATTCAACATTCTTTGATGATAAAAACAATTAACTAGCAATGGGGAATTTCTTCAACCTGATAAAAGTCACCTGCGAAAAGCCTACAGTTAACATTGTATTTAATGAAATATTGAACATTTTCTGCCTAAAATCAGCAATAAGACAAATTCTATTCCACAGCATACTGGAGGTTTTAGCTAGGGCAGTGATGCAGGAAATTTAAAGGCATAAAGATAGGTAAAGAAGATAAAAATATAACTATTTACAAATCACATGATCTAGTATACAGAACATCTTAGATATCCATTAAAAACTATTAGAATTTAAGAACATCTCCAGCAAGGTTACAGAGTAGAAGATGAATATGCAAAAATCCATATTTTTTTTTGGTGGGTGGGGGTGGGGTGTTGGGGGATACATCATCCCGTTGCCCAGTCTGAAATGCAGTGGTACAATCTCAGCCCACTGCATCGTGTACCTCCTGGGCTCAAGCAATCCTCCCACCTCAGCCTGCTGTATAGCTGGGGCCATGGGCAAACACCACCATAGCCAGCTCATCTTATTTATTATTTATTTACTTATTTTTTTTTTTTTTTTGGAGATGGAGTCTCGCTCTGTCACCCAGGCTGGAGTGCAGTAGTACGATCTCAGCTCACTGCAAGCTCCACCTACGGGGTTCCCGCCATTCTCCTGCCTCAGCCTCCCGAGTAGCTCGGACTACAGGAGCCCGCCACCACGCCCGGCTAATTTTTCTGTATTTTTAGAAGAGACGGGGTTTCATCATGTTAGCCAGGATGGGCTCTATCTCCCGACCTCCTGATCCGCCCACCTCGGCCTCCCAAATTGCTGGGATTACAGGCTGAGCCACCACGTCTGGCTGCTAATCTTATTTTTTATAGGGATGAAGTCTCACTGTGTTGCACAGGCTGGTCTCAAACTCCTGGGCTCAAGGGATCCTCCCACCTTGGCCTCTCAAAGTGCTGGGATTACAGGTGTGAGCCACCACACTCAGCCACAAAAAGCAATTGTATTTATCCACAATAGTAATAAGCTGAACATGAAATTTAAAAAGAAAACAATCCCTTTACCATAGCATCTAAAAACTCCAAAATAATTAGGAATAAATTTAACAAAATAAGTACAAAATATATATTCCAAAAACTATAAGTGTTTAAAGAAATTGAAGACCTAAATAAATGGAAAAATATTTCATGTACATGAATCAGAAGACTTAATATAGATAAGATGGCAATACTCCCCAAATTGATTAGCAAATTTAACATAATTCCTATTAAAATCTCTGCTGGCTTATTTGCGTACATTAACAAGCTGATCCTAAAATGCATATGGATATTCAAAGGACTTAGAATACTCAAAACAATCTTTAAAAAAGAAAAATTTCAATATTCATACCTACCTGATTCAGCACTTTCTAGGAAACCGCATTGATCATGATTCCATTATGCTTGCATTAGACACATGGATTAATGAAATAAAATTCACGTTCCAGAGATAAAAACCACTGACATTACCCGTCAATTTGATTTTTGACAAGATGCCAAAACAATCAAGAAAAAAATAGTTTTTCAATAAATGGTGCTCAGACAACTGAGTATCCACAAGAGGGTACCCCTTCCTTACACTATCCACAAAAAAATTGATAAATCATAGACCCAAATGTAAGAAGTGCAGCTCAAACTCTTTGAAGAAAATATAGGAGTAAATCTTTGTAACCTGATGTTAAGCAAAGTCTTCTTAGATATGACATCAAAAGCACAAGAAAAGAATTAACTGGAATTCATCAAAATTTTAAACTTTGTATTTCAAAAAACATTAGAACAGAAAAAGATCTATAGAATAGGGAAAGTTTGCAAATTATATAAAATATAAATAACTTGCATCTGGAATACATAAAGATCTCTTAAAACTCAGCAATAAAAAGACAAATTACCAAGTATGGGCACAATAATCGAATAGACGCTGCCCCAAAGAAGATACACAAATGGCCAAGAAGCCCGTATAAAAATTCTCAGCATCCTTAGCCATCAAGGAAATGCAAATCAAAGACGTACTGAGATACCAGTTCATGTCCACTAAAATAGGTACCATCAAAAAGACAGTTAGTAAGTGTTGGTGAGGAGGTGTATGGGTGTTTCACTTCCCTATGGCTGGTGAGAATATAGAATGGTGCGTCTATTTTGTAAAATACTCCGGAAGTTCGACATAACATTGCCATATGAACCAGCAAATCCACAGCTAGTTCTATACTTAAAATGTGTCCACGTAAAAATTTGTATGCAAATGGTTATAGCAGAGTTATTCATAATTGCAAAAAGTGGAAACAATACAAATGTCAGTCAACCGATGAAAAAACATGGTCTATATCCATCATATTAAATAGGATCCAGAAATACAGAAGAAGTGAACTGCCGATTTATTCCACAACCTGACAAACCTTGAAAACCTACTAAATGGAAAGAGCTAGTCACAAAACACATTTTGTACCATTGCACTTACATTAAATGTCCAGAATAGGCCAATCCCTAGAGACGAAAATAAATTAGTGTTTCCTTTGGGCCGTGGGGCTGAGGGAAAATAGTGAGTGGGTACTAATGGATACTGGGTTTTTTGCATTAAACATCTTCCAAAAATAACTGTGGTGATGAATGCATAACCCCAGGAATATATTAAAAAGCACTGAAGAGTACACTTCAGGTCAATATTGTGGTATGTGAATCATTTCAATATAGCTCTGATTAAAAGAAAGCAGCAGCTCAGGACTAGAGAACAGAGCGCAATATGGGATATTGAAATTCCATTTAGCTATAAGTCTCATTTCCTGTTATATCACATGACACCTATATTAATTCAGTTTACGAATTAAAAAAAAAGGAATATGGTAAGAAGACTGAAAGAAACAGGTTTCTCAGTTTTCTAAAAGAATGAGATAGAGCTCAGAACCTTGAGTCGAAGGCTTATCCCTCCAGCTGGAATTCTACTTCCTCTCTACTTCACTTACAGGACTCTAATTTAGCCTTCCAAGACCCAGTTTGGATTTCACTGCCTCTTAACATTCCCACATTAACATCTTCCTGCAGTGATTGTATGAAGCACAGGGCATTATTATGTATGCATGCAATGGACAGACGCTCTTCAACTTACAGTGCGGTTATGTTCTAATAAAAACATTGTAAGCTGAAAAGAGTGATGAAAATGCATTTAATATACCTAACCTGCAAAACATTGTAGCTTAGCCTTGCCTACCTTAAACACACTCAGAACACGCACATTAGCCTACAGCTGGGAAAACCACCTAAGTCAAAGCTTATTTTATAATAACACATTGAGTATCTCGTGTCATTTATTCAATATTGAACTAAAAGTGAAAAGCAGAATGGTCGTATGGGTACTCAACGGGTGGTTTCTACTGAACGTGTTATTACTTTCACGCTATTGTAAAAGGGTAAGAGTCCCAAGTTGAACCATGGTAAGTCAGGGGCCGCCTGTAGTCAATCCTGTAATATAGCCAAACTCTGTATTGTTGTGTTTTAATGTATCTACACTGATTGGATCATCAGCATCCGTTGCTTTAAGGCGAGTCCTGCTGAGTGGGGTGGGGCTGGGCTGAGAGATCAAGAAAACTGATTCTCTTTGAAGTTTTGGGAGGAAAGTATCTATGATCCCAATTTACCCTGCTGTGTTAGTTTTATTAGTTTTTTATTAGTTTTTATTAGTTTTATTAGCCTCTCCATTGGGGCTGAGCACGAAGCCATATTCAAACCAGATGTGCTTCCTCCCACTCATGATGCCACCAGAATGACTTCTTTTTCCTGAACCCAGGAGCTACCTTGGGAAAGGAAGAAAATAGGAAAAAAGGGAAACACAACAAGGCCGAGCATTTCAGACTCAGTTTACCTGAAACGGAACGGTTTTCACTGGGAGACACTAACAGTTAATTTTCCCATCTAAGGCTCAGAATATTACCCCCAAACTATGTCACTTTATGTCACCAGAGGGAATAGGAAGTCCAAACCAGGAGGATGCCACATAAAGTATACACATTTGCTCTGAAGTTTGAGTATGTGTCTCTTTCATCTTTTTTTCCAGTGCCTGTGACCCAGGTGCTAACCCAGACACTAGGATGTCTTGGTGAAGATGACGGTCCCTGTGCTTGCAAAAAGTGTACATCAGTACATGTCTACTAAAGATAAATGAGAAAACATGGTTTGAAAGTCTATTTCATCATGCTGAAGGAGCCTTGTACGTTCACCATTGACACCATCCTGCCTTGCCATATTATTTTAAAATACCAAGATGGTTCGTCGTCCTCCCAAGAGGTGACTTAACAGTGGGGGATATGGAAGCACATACAACTCCACTCTCAGAATGGAAGTCAAGTAAAGCAATGCCTGTTTTTCAGCAGGCCACTTAGAAGTCAGACGTTGAGGATTATTAAGTTAAGGCCTCAGTAGAACAAGATTTCCAAATCCCAAGTACTGGAGAGATGAAATTCACTTTATTGCTCTGACCATTAAAGGAAGAAGAATGGTAGGAAAGGATGCTGGTGTTTGGAGGAACTCTAGTTTGTAGGTCATCTATTATTTTCTCACCTCTGAGAATGGGGGTGGTTATGGGTACTTTACTGCCAACCCACCCCACATTCCTGAAGTATCTCAAGCCACACATTCTATCCTCTTCACAGGTGATTGTATCTGGAAGTGGCTGACTCACTGCACTAACAAACTCACAGCCATAGAAGAAGGAAAAGTCAGTAGAGAAATTATGTGCTTCCAATACCTTGTGGGAGAGACAAGGACAGATGGGAAAAGACTGAGACATTAAAGATGTGCAATCACATTTGGATTGACAAATTACTTTTATTACCATCCAATGATAACACAAGTCAAACAAGTTATGGAGAGATTAAATATCATGACACCAGCTCTCGAGTAAATGGGAGGATAGTTTTATAAAGAATGAAATATTGTGAGAGAGTCTTACTCCGTGGTCTTAAGAGCTGTTTAAGATTGGGCATGATGCTTTTATAATAGTGAGACAGGGATCTCTCCTGGCTATCCTTCCCAGATAACCACAGATCAGTGGAAGAATAAGCTTGATGAGGAAGAAAACAGAGGAGGAGGAGGAGAAACAGAAGAGGGAAGAAAGAAAGGGAAGAAAAGTTGACAGAGGTTGACAAGGACTAGCCATGGAGATGTATCGGGGAGTTGAAGAAAAAACAAAGCCAAAAAAAACACTCACTTTGATATTGTCTTCAAATGAGTATATATATACTCAATATATAGGCAAGGAAATTTAGCCTATATATTGAACAAATGTTGAAGTTTATTGTTTAGAAGGCAATGGAAAGCTGTGTTTGGAAAACCATGAGCAAAAATGGGCAAACAAATGCCAACAGTGTCACAAAGTTTAGTTATTCTAAGAGTTCATAAGCCAGTTCAATTTTTTGACTTTATTTAAATGTTTAATTTTTCAGAACAAATATAACTCTGAGTTGGGATATGTTCTCCAGTCCCAGCTTTTTAAAAATTTTAAAATGGTGTACAACAAATACATATTTCCAATAATACTATATTTATCAAATTATAATATGAGAATACCACCAACTGAAATCCATAGAAAAATAACAAGCCATTTAAAATTTAAATTCAGAGAGCAGGGGAAACATTATTCCAAGATGACTTCAGCGATGAGACTAAGGTTATTTTTAATTATATTGAAATTTTACAGTGTGTTTTTACAGCATTGAAATTAGAATTTCCTGTGAACATTTCTTCCTTCCCTTAGCTGTAAGGAAATGCTCAGCTGTGGGAGCTTTCTCAACATAGCTCAACTGGCCTCAAAGGCAACAAAAGTCTGTTTCATGGCAGAACAATTAAAAGAAGTGATTAGCTTTGATTTCTTTTCAAATTTCAACTTAGTCTTGCTCTAGATTCTTCAGAGTAAAAAAAAAAAAAAAAAAGAAAAAAAAAGAAAAAACAAATGTTGACAACTCGTTCTGTAAACAATGTTCAAAGTCCTTAACAGTTTCCTTGTGTCTGCACAAAGCTCCCAGGGACACATTCCAGCTAAGAATCTACTTCAATTCGTGTTCAATTAAACCAATTCATGGCAAGGAAAGGAGGAGTCACTATACAGATTATTTAATTGACCCATTACTGAATGTGTAATTCCTGCACCTGGATCAATTCAAATGTCCTCATTCCCTGCTCATCTCCTCCATTTTTCTCTTTTTCCGTCTTAGACTACCAAGCAGACATCCTTCTAAACCGTTAATCTTGGCTGTCTTTGTGCCACCCATGAGTGGCCAGAGGATAGAGTTCTGACTTAAGCACAGACAACTTTTTTCTTTACTTAGCACATTAAACCTGTTGAAAAATTGTTATTTTAAGAAACAAATATTTTCTCCCTTTTCAAGAGTCAGTGCATTATAACAATTCTTTTCAGTTTTCTGAAATATCTTGTTTTACCTTTCTTGTCCACATGAACCAAATCAAGGTGCAAATAGGGTTGGACAAGCTATTATCTTTTTAAAAAAATCTCAAGCCCAATGGTAAAGCTAAAGCTAACAAAATATTTACCGTAGAAAGCACCTTGCATTTACTATTTCTTATATGGGGAAAGAACTAGTGAAATAATTGGACAAACTCAATGAAATAATTGGACAAAAGTCAGTGAAAAGGAGTTCCAAAAAAACAGAATCATCTAGTGGGTTGAACACTGGTTTTTGGGATCCAAACAGTTGGAATTCCATTCCTGAACTAACAAAGTAATATGATGGTTTACAAGGCTTGACTAAGGACCCTGTCCTAAGCTGTAGATTTGTGTAGTGATAACCCCATCTCTCACATGGGTTACTCAACAGGCCCTGCCTCCTGTCCGTCCCTGTCTTCTGAAATTGATCTGCACTGTTCTGATGAACCGCTTTCTAAAATTCAGATATAACTTTTTGACTAAAAAAAGCCTACAGCTCTCTATTTTCTGTGCTCTAACAGCACTTGTCACGCTGTGTAAGTTGAGAAAGCAGCAGTGCCTGGGGCATGCCTGGGGAAAGGAAGGAGAGCTGGCTGACTTCTGAGACTCCTGACCCCACCTTCACCCAAGGAACTTGAGAAAGTGTTGATCTTCTGTTATTGACTGGGCGATAGGCCTTTTTAAAGGTGTTATCACAAAACCTTTTAAAAACCATTAATAAAGAGGATAATATTTTGATTTTAAACCTTTAGCAGGGTAGACAACACCTACTTTGATGAGACTCAGGCCAAAACTTCAAACCTTATGATTTAAGCTCTTGATATACCAACTCATTCTTATCCTCTGAACATGTACTTTTCTATTTCTTCTTACATGAAGGCATTTACACACTCTTGTCCCCAGCTAAATCCTCCTTCCTTGATTCATCCATTCAGCCACAAATGATTTTTCAAGATTCAATTTGAACCTAATTGTTAAAATGGTCCATATCCTACTAAACCTAGGTAGATCTCCTCCCCTGGACTGTATGTATCATAACAAGAGTGTTTAGCATAATTCAAAAACATTGCTTAGGGAGAGCCTACTCTGGGCTTGCTTCTATGTCTGAATCAGCTTAGCATGTCCTGTGTTTTTCATATAATGGATAATCAATAATTATTGTATTGAATTTAGCCCAAACAGCAATTGAATTATCAATTAAGCTAATTATAAACTTGAACACTGCAAGGAATTTTAGAATATTTTGGCTAATAGGAAAGGAATGCTGGAAACAAGCTCATTCTGTTTGACTCCTTACAGACCTTCAAGAGCATGATGTGAGATGGGTATAGTTCTCTTATCAGAGACTCTAAAAGGAAAAAAAGTTCAAAAGACAATGCTATACTCTCTAAATGAAATTTTAATAACAAGAGCACAATTGTGTCTTACACAGAAGACCTGTTTGAAGAGTTTGGTGTGGCCTCCCTGGAGCTCTTTTGGTAGGAAAATGGAAGAAGGCACTACTTACTTAAAGACAAATACACATCAGTGGCAGGGACCTAGAAATTACCTCTCCAAGGCCAAGACCTAAGGAAAGGAAAGCTCATAAAAGGAGCTCAGGGGTCAGGCTGCAGCAAAGACACTATGATTGTCATAGTCAGTGGGACTTTCTCATTCTAACAATTATTTTCGGCTTTCTGAAAAGTCTTGTTATTTTACCTTGTCCACGTGAACCAAATCAAGGTGCAAAACGGCTGGTGTCAGCATTCTGCCGTATTTTCAGATTACAAGTATCATCTGGGACTGCAAATTGTGTTATTGGCTACATTTAGAGAACCAATTCAGATCAAAACAGGTGAGTAGATTTTACCTAGAACCAAACCTATTCCTTCCGGAGCCTTCCTCTTCTCAATTAACGGCAAACCTATTCTTTCAGTAGCTTGTGCAAACACCTTGGAGTGGTCTTTGACTCTGTGTATTCCTGACATCCCTAATGTAGCTTAGAGGCCAGTGTCTCCCCACCTCGTCTGGAAACAGGCCCAGGGAACTCTTGTCATCACAGGCCTAACGTCACCACTTTTGCCCTTGTCCCTCTACATCTCTGCACAGGAGGCAATGGAAGGAGCCCTTGGAATATGCCAGGCGACAGCACTCCTCTGCTTACAGCCTTCTCACGGAGGGAACCCAAAGTCCTTAAAATGACTCGCACACCTACGTGATCTGGCCTTTGGTTTTCCTTTTTTTTTTTTTATTTGAGACGGAGTGTCGCTCTGTCGCCCTGGCTGGAGTGCAGTGGTGTGATCTCGGCTCACTGCAAGCTCCACCTCCTGGATTCACACCATCATCCTGCCTCAGCCTCCCGAGTAGCTGGGATTACAGGCGCCCGCTAACATGCCCGGCTAATTTCTTTTTGTATTTTTAGTAGAGATGGGGTTTCACCGTGTTAGCCAGGATGGTCTCGATCTCCTGATCTCGTGATCCGCCCGCCTCGGCCTCCCAAAGGGCTGGGATTACAGGTGGCCTTTGGTTTTCATAACCTCATCTATTCCTCTCCATTGTGATCCTTCACCTGCCTCCTCTGGCCTCTGATATTTTTCAGCCCTGCCAGGTCCATTTCCCATCAGGGGCTCCTCCTCTATCCCGAGCCTTCTCCCTCCTCTCCTTCAACCTTTATTTCATGCTAGTTTCTACAACGTGGCGTCACTTGACTACGATGGTTCAACTCCCAATGCTTCCTCTCTCTTCCCTCTTATTTTTATCTGTAGAATTATCACCTGACAATTTCTTCACAGAAGTGATAGTGCTGCTATGTAGACAGGTTGGGGTCATGGTCGGCAGCTCAATGCTTAACTGGAAGGATAAGTGCATCAAACACGGAATTCCTTACATTAAATGAACTCAGACAAAAATGACATGCCAAAGGATTCAGAGTGAATGTACAACCAAATAATATAACTGCCAAACACTGGTCTAAGAGCTCATAAATGGCTTTCCTGTACGTTAACCATTTCAACAGTGAGATTTCTAAACGGCCATTAGTGCTTTTTGAAAAAGAATGGTACGAAAGAGTAAAGACAAAAAGAAGAAAGGTAAAATGAACACAGAAAAACACCATGAATGACTTAATTGGACCCAGATTATTTAGACAATATTTAAGGATTGTCTAACACATTCTTACAGGTTATCTGAATCGATGTTGTCTCTGGGCTTCTTTGATTTTTTTTGAGTTATGTAAAACTGAATTATTTTTAAGTAACTCTTAATGTAAATGATTGTTTAGTATGAATGTGTAAATAAGTATTTTTGGGATTTCCCTCAAGTGACATGTCAATTCAGTGTCTTTTAAATATATTTGAGCATTACATACTTTTTATGTACGAGGATTCTATGAAATATCTTTTGAACTTGCAAGGTCTAATTTCCTCATTAATAAATCAGTTAAAATCTTTGACATATTTGTTTTGTATTTGTGTGAAATGTTTAATTTTTAAAATTATCCTTCAACAGAACAGAACCATTATCACATGCCAGGCCTTACTGGATTTAATTCCAACAACATTATTATGGAAAAACAATCTTAGAAAAAGTCTCGTGTTCCCCAAGCTCACAAAATGGTGTCCTACTTAAAAAAATCAGGAACAATAAATTTCACAACAAAGTCAAACAGGTTGGTAAAAAGCTGGAAAAGGCAATAGTGATCACTATATCGCAGCTTATTTCTAGAAGACATTGGGTTAGACTATTTCTAATTTACTATTTTGACAAGGTTCCTATACAGGTAGATTACCCAAGTGCAGCACGTAGCTGTCAGCAAGCCTCTCGACAAAATCATTCACAAGATGCATGTGCCTAACAAAACATGGCTCAGTGTCTGGGTGGTCACAGGACGGCACTTCTGCTTAAGAATTAGAACCAGTGCATGGTGTTTAATAACGAAGGCCCGTTTTAGAGAGAGGTGCAGGGAGAAAACAACCCAGAACATTACACCTAACTCTGCGGCGACTGGTTGGAAAGAACTGGGAATGCTCACCCTGGTTGAGGAAGGCCAGCGAACGCAGAGAGAACACGACCCATCTTCAAAGAAAAATGCAGCAAACACGCGGAGAAAAGAAGTTAGACCCATTTCTTTAGCGTCACAAAGGAGACTGAGGAGCAATATATAGATGTTAACAGGAAGCTGGCAGGTGTGTCTAATGACTACGCTGCAAGGAAGGTGTTTTCAATGATTAGGCTACAAAAAATGGTGTTTCCAGTGGGTAGGCTACAAAGGTGTTTCCAATGATTAGGAAATAACAGGGACTTTATAGAGGGTGCAAAACAGTGAATAGGAAGCCTTCTAAGCGATACGTATTATCTGCTCTAACCCTAAGAATCAACATTTCTTCCAATTTTTTAACTAGAAATAATTGGAACTCAGATTTAATGCTTAGCTGGGAAACTTGTTCGACACAGTCAGCAGAGATCTGTTCTAAAGAATGCTTTAATTCTTTCTTCAATATCGATGTGTCTTGATTGTCATACTTTTTAAATATTAATTTTACTTTTATTAAAATGTTATTTTTTCTCTTATTTAGGAAATCTCAAAAATTATTTTAAAATCGAATAGTTCTTACACTTTTGCACAGCCTCAGATGCAGTCTCTTCTAATAATTAAAAAAGTAAAGCTCTAATTTTTACTTGACAACTTACCAATAGTAGAGAAAGCATGTATGTACCTGGTTTATTTCATCCATCACTTGATCTGTAGTAACAGTGCTTCACTGTAGTCTCTTAATACTTTTATTTTAAAGGTATATGTCATTTATAGACATATATTTAAGGTAATAACAGATGAATAAAATGAGAGGGACCCGGGGAACCTTATTTATGCTTTGTAAAAAATAAAAGGAAATACCAAAACAGTATTTAGAATTATATTCCAAAGAATAGCTATTAGAAAGTTATTCATCATCACTTTGAAAAGTTAAAATATTTAACAAGATATTCTGCAAACAATAAGAAAAATAATTTTAAACAAATAATTTATAAAATATTAATTGCTTTGTTATATCAAGAAAATATTGAAATGAGCATATTAGGTGTAAACAGCACTTTTACTTTCATAACTGTGGACGTTCACTTCTTTTAATATAGAAAGTTATTTTAAAATACCATTCAATATCATTGATCTTAGATACTTAAAAAATTTGGTATATATACCCTTTCTGTAAGTGTGATGACATATGATTAAACATAGTTATTCACTTTTAGAAAAATTATAGTAGAAATTTTTGCCATAATATTTTGATAATTTACACTCCATTCTATGTAAATCTACAGTAACATTACCTATTTATATTTCATATATATTATTTTTATATGTACACATAAATTATATTGTTTAAATTCCTCAAACAAGTCAAAATATTCAAATTCTGCATTAAGTGATATTTTAGGATATGGGCCTGAATTATGTAACATTTTCTCTACTTGTGTTTGAATTTAGATAATTACAACCTTATAGTAAATTCCTGGAATATAGATTTTAAAATTCCAATGATTTTCCAAACCAATGACGACTTAAAATTTCAATTATAAATGATTAAAAAGTTTTAAATTTTAAGCCATTTTGTAAAATTGTAAACTCTCATGGTTACATTTTCGGATTTAGAAATATGACAATCAATGTGAGTTCTTAACACAAAAGGAGGGAAAATCAGCAGAGACAACCTGATGCCATTGGGGTATCTGAGGTTGAGAAAGTGGCTGGCTTACCCCATTCTCATTGTAGGTAGTCTTTAATCCAGTCAGCTTACCTGAGTATTATTTTGTTTCATAAGCAAGGATTTCACAAAGTAATACCCAGTGTCTGCAAATCCAAAGAACCCCCACTCCCCTCTTGCACCTGCTTTGCAATTAGGCTATGCCTTTTTCTTGTACTTCTGCCTCTCCATATCAATAGTAGTTATGCACAAATACGGACAAGATGACATTGTACATCACTTTACCTAAACTTGGGGAGTTTAGTTTCCTTTATCTGTGAAAACAAAGAGCATATGACTCTAGGTAACTGTCAAAATTAAATGATGTAAGGTATGCAGGAATGTGTAGCATGTAGTAACACATAAATGTTAGTTTCTTTTCAACCAAATGGCTTTGGGTTTTCTTTTAACCTATTATCTTATAAAATGACAGAAAAATAGAGATAGAATTGTCAAATAGGAACACGCAAATGATCGTAGCATATATAAGAATTTAATATATGAGAGAGGTAGCTTTTCAAATCAGTGAAAAAGAACAAACTAATCAATAAATAATATTAAAGCAAATGGTTTTCTACTGGGGGGAGGATTTAGGTACCTGTGTCAAAAGAGACACAAAAAATTAATTTCAGAAAGACCCAATCCATTAAATAAGAGATACTATCAAAGAAATAAAAGCAAATATATGCAAACGTATAATGTATGCAATTACAATCTAAACGAACATACACAAAAAGAAACTAGAGAGATTGAAAATGATAAATTTGCCTGCCTTACAACACAATTTCCACACATGGAAATAATCTTCGTAAGTGAAAATTTAAATGTAAGAACGGCCTACAAGTTGTTTATTATAGGTATAACACGAGACATAAATTTAAATTATGTTTATGTTTATAAATAGTTCAGCAAGGTGACAGATTAACGTTCCAAATAGAAAAAAAACATACCACTCAGACATTATAAGGAAGATTTTATGCTGGTGTTGTCTAACTTGAGCTGATTAGAATAAGAGGAGGACAGAGAATTGGTCTAAGAAAGGCAGAGGGTCATAGAAGTGAAAAAGAAATTCTGTAGAATGGAGAGAGACTGAAAATGGAAAATCAAAGTTGCTAAGGGCTGCAGTCTTAGAGAGCAGATTAGTACAAACTTTGAGCAGATGTCATGGGGTTTAGCACTTTTGAGAGTGAGAGCTCTAAAGAGAACCTTTAGGCGGTGTTTCTGTGTGAGCTACTACGTAACCCATTCCTGGGTGCCCTCAGGAATTACAGAGTAAACTCTTACACAGTTGACGTTGAACAACAACGTGGATCTCAACTGAGCAGTTTACTCCCACGTGGACTTTCTTCTCCCTCTGCCATCCGGAGACAGCAAATACCACACCTCCTGTTTCTCCTCCCCAGCCTACTCAGCATGAAGACCATGAGGAGGAAGAATTTTGTGACCCCTTCCACTTAATCAATAGTAAATATATTTTCTCTTCCTTATGACTTTCTTAACATTATTTTCTCTAGCTTACTTTCTTGTAAGACTATACATATAACATACAAAATGTGTTAATTGACGGTTTGTGTTATCTGTAAGATTCCTGGTCAACTACAGGCTGTTAGTAATTACGTTTTGGGGGAGTTGAAAGTTTTATGTGGATTTTTCAATGCATAAGGGGTCAGTGTCCTAACCTCTGTGTTATTCAAGGATTAACTGTATTTATTTTTAAGCATTTGAAAAATGGATATGTGTTTTAGGATGCTTTATTATGTTTAGGCTAGTATTAAGCAAGCCTATTGATATGATTATGGTTGCCTATAATACAGGGCTGTGAATATATATCTTAAAAGTTGTGGATGGCATTCAATACTGTTTATCTATTTCCTCCCTCCCTCTCTCACTCCATTTCTATATCCATAATAGTTTGAAATCTAAATATTACAAGCATGTCTCCAAATTGTGATAGCTTCATAAGACAGAAGCAGTATATTAATAAAGAGTTAATGTATGAACAATATCAAATGTGTTATGATCCTGAAAACTTGTTGAGTGTTTCTCTTTTTTAATATTCACCTGTGGCATCATATGGAAGGCAACCCCATTTGATTCTCGATACAGAGAACCCAGAATTGTGTTTTTTAGAGAAAAACATGGACTCAGAGATAACTAGAAAGTTTCATCTATCTTGCAACCTATACGTCTTAAATACCACCCAGGCACAACGTTCTTTTCTTAGGGTTTTTTTTCTTTTTCTTTTTCTTTTTTCTTTTCTTCGAGACGGAGTCGCCCTTTGTCACCCAGGCTGGAGTGCAGTGGCATGATCTCAGCTCACTGCAGCTGCCTCTGGGTTCAAGGGATTCTCCTGCATCAGCCTCCCGAGTAGCTGGGATTACAGGCGTGCACCACCACACACAGCTAATTTTTGTATTTTTAGTACAGATGGGATTTCATTATGTTGACCAGGCTGGTCTCAAACTCCTGACCTCAGGTGATCCACCTGCCTTACGCTCCGAAAGTGCTGGAATTACAGGCTTGAGCCACCTCACCTGGCTCTTTTATTATACTTTGTTGGTGTTATTGCTGTTGGTTTCATTTTGTTGTCTGTATTTTTGTTTATTTGCACAGTCATATCTTTCATTTTCCGTAATTAATCAGCAGACAAAAGCAATGTATTATTTAGAAAATTTCTGGTTAAGACAGTGTGATTTTTTCAATTTAATTATATATATTTAATACATAATAGATTAAATTTATAAACAAGTTACATTAACTATTAAAAGTCTCTTGTGTAATCTTCCAATTAAAATATAGTTTGCTTCACCAGCATAACTGATAATTTCTTTTTAACAGAAAATAAAACTTTTTTAAAAAAAGATATGCTAGAAGATATTATACTTTTTATTCATCATGATAGAGACCGGATGTTTATAAGCATGTATCTATTCTAACACGAAATTTCACATGTCAAATTTAGGATCATAAGAATATGGTATTAGTATTCAGCACAATTTTGGCTTTACATTTTGGAATTTTGGTAGTTAAGTGTGATTAATTCAGCTTCTTTTAAATGTAGTCATATATACATATGGTAAAATCATATAATTTGGGAATACTCATCTGAATTAATACTGAAATTGAACATCATCACTACTTTTCGGAGTTCTAAAATATGTATTTATAAAACAGAAAGGGATTTTAAAATAAAACATAATCAAATAGGTCTCCACAACACTTTTAGTAAAACACTGAGGGTTTGAGACTGCCTTTAGAAATAGCAACTCATAGTCTAACACCATCCCAAGGCTGTGGACTCCCAGGTCAAATGCCAGTTCAAGTCCCGATTTCACCACTCACTTTATGAATAGCTTTCTTAATTTCTATACCTCCGTTTGTTCATATGTAAGGATTAGATGGCACAGAGAGCACCTGACACATGAAGTCCTCCATCAAAACCCATCACCGTACTTCCCTGGATTCCTTACGAAAAAAGCTTCAGTCAAAACATAAACTACAGGCTTTTTTGTGAAGGAAAAATCCCAGGGAATCAAGGGTGAAAAGAGAAAGAAATGAAGCAGGGAAGGTAGGTAAAGAAAAGCATGAGGTGTGCTGCTGAATGCCAATTGCTGGCTGCCTAGGATGGACAGGTGGCTGTGGTTACAGGGATTTCCCTCCCGCAGGGCTGGTGGGACCCCAGCCTTGCAGCTGTGTCAGGGAGAGGGAAGAGCAGGTGTGAGCACTCCTTCCCACCACCTGTCTCTTAAGAGTCACAGTTTATCCAGTGGGCATTCTGTGACCCTTCCTTATCCCACTGTCTTCCTGCGCAGACACCTCCAGCTGAGCCCAGCCCAGGTGAGAGGGCTCCCAGTGACAGAGCTACCTAGGGCTAGAGCCACTGCAGCTCCCACTAAGGTGTGGACGGTGGAGGCTGAGCTGGTCCTCACCGTGGGGAAGCCGAGGCGTTGGTGCTGGAAGGAGTTAGGCTGTCATGGCAGCCGAGGGGCTCTCCACAAGCCATCGGCAACGCCTCGATCAGTCTCGGGGACTTGGTGCTGAGCAAAATTGGGGGGCTCAGAAACTGAGTCTGGTAAAACACATGATTTTCAGATATTTATATTTAATCACTATAATTAAAATGCAGCATTACGTGAGTGGCCTGGCATTTTCACACGATGCTCTATGACACACACAGTTTAAATGTACATCTTTTTTTAAAAATTGCGAGTTGAGAAGTTCCTATTTAAACTGACTTCTGCACAGAGAAAGGCACTGTGAGATATCTAAGAAATCGTTGACTGGGTACTGGAAGTGACGCAAGGCATGTCCCCAAAGGATAGACTGAAACAACCTTTGTCAATTATGCACATACCAAAAGCCATTCTTGTCCAAACCTCTTACTCACAATACTGTATTTTAAGTGAGAACTTTTATTAAGGTGGCTACAGATTTGGTTAGTATGTGCTGTATTATATTTTTGGTTTGTTTGCTTTAACTGGACATAAATTCTGAAAATCTCATAATCCTCATTTATAACTGGTGGCAAAACCTGATACCTGATCAATTTTTGCCTGGCGCATGATAGCTATGCAATAAATATTCATGCATTCCATCCATTTCTATCCATGCAGAAAACTGTTAAGTACCGGGAACTCAGTGAATTCTACTACCATTCACTTTCATCTCCTCTGTAGCACTCCCCGAGTTAAAACTGATTTTAACCTGTTTTTTTATGGGGCCATAAGACCTACCCCTGGCTGTTACGTTCACAGGCCTAGTGCCTGTAACAGCAAAGATGGGCAATTTTCTTACTTTCCTTCTTCCCCTCTTTTTATATTCTTTCACTCGCCAAATGATTCACTTCATGTTAATACTGAAAAGCTTCCTTAGAAATGCTTATTTCCCAATTTGCTCCTAAGGTTGAAAATAGTAAAAAGCAACTCAAAGCAACATGAGTTGCCTCATGTGACAGTTTAATTTATTTTTACATCTTCTAAGCTCTGGGAAATATTAAGATTTGAAACACACAAGTCCAAAGTATTGAAATACTTTGTAAAGTTATATATCTTGTCAGTAAGTCACAAATGCCTTTAGATAAAAATTGAATCAATAGTTTCTTCATTAGCTTTCCCCCCCAAAAAAACTGAAAGTAGATGTATAAATCAAAGAAAATTTAATACACTGCCTTCCATTTAATGTACCGATATTGATGATAGTAAACGACATTAATAATGAAGCAAAAGAAAGTATTATTGGCAGGGCGTTATAAACTATCAGAGAGGAAACTATAAATTTTCTAATGTCAAGTTAATTTTATATGGCCATGGTGCATGTTAACTGGTTACTTGTAAAGCTGATTCTTCTCCAAAATGCACACTTTTTCCTTAGCTCATAGAAATTCATAAAATATGTAACAAATTTTAATGGCATTCAAAATATTTAAATATTCTTTGGAGAATAGTTTCAACATATTTCATATGCTTTGACATCCATACTTAGATTTTTGAAAACAGGGCTAGACTTAAAAAGCAGACAAATGGAAATTTAATTTAGTTTCTGGCAATTGTACTTGACTGACCTTAATTCACGGAAATTTTCTCAACCTTAGTTTATTAATTCCCCCAAAAGGAACGATAATTCCTACACTAAAACACTGTTGCAATTCCTAGGGAAGATAACACAGAGTATGGCAGGGGCTCAATGCTATTCAAATGTTTACGTGTGTAAAGAAATAAGACACAGTTATATCTATTTTCTGGCATAGAGAAAATTACAATTCTTTAATAAGGTTAATTTATAAATAAATACATAAATAATAATGGGTCCACAACCTTGAAATGTCTTCAGAGCCCTGAGAAGATACCCCTGGAATTACATATTAATATTGCCAGCATATTATCTCAGGAATAAATCAAAGTTGCATTTGTTTGCTTGTGAATGTGTTTTTCTTGGTAAGTATGAAAAAGGAATTTTATACAGTTGAACAGCTGCACTTTACCACATATGTCCGGTTACAAAATTGATTATAGTTAGCAGGTAGAGCTTTCACTTCAGTAATTAAGAAACCAGAAAACAAAACAAAACAATATATTTGGTGCAACTTACCATACAACCAAAATAACAAAGACCTTAATGGATTCTCAGTAGTTTCATAAATACCTTTGCCTCTTATTTACTCATTGATCACTCGTTTCACTTCCAGAGCACAAATAACATTTTTCTCTAAAATTTTAGTTGACTGCTTTAAAAATGACTTTCCAGCTGGGTGCAGTGGCTCACGCCTGTAATCCCAGCACTTTGGGAGATCCAGGTGGGTAGACCACGAGGTCAGGAGAGAGAGACCATCCTGGCCAACATGGTGAAACCCCGTCTCTACTAAAAATACAAAAATTAGCTTCCTTAGAAGCTAATTCTCTACTGAGAATTAGAGAAACCCCGTTCTCTACTGAAAACACAAAAATTAGCCAGGCGTGGTGGCGCCCACTCCTTTAGTTCCAGCTACTCGGGAGGCTGAGGCAGGAGAATTGCTTGAACCTGGGAGGCAGAGGTTGCAGTGAGCCGAGATGGAGCCACTGCATTCCAGCCTGGGTGACACAGCAAGTCTCTGTCTCAAAAAAAAAAAAAAATAAAAAGTCAACAAAAAAAAGCAAACTGGATAAAGCAAACATACTTATCCTATCATTCTCCCTGGAGAATGTGGTCGTGAGTTCTGTTAGAGAAGTTTGAAGTAGCTGAACCATGACCAGTTAAAAGGAACTTTGTTCTGTGCTGTTTCATTGAGAATCTGTTTTCTACTATTTTCCTAATACCACGAGAGTGCATTGTTATCTCACAAAAAAAAAAAAACAAAAAAAAACCGAGAAGGAAATTACTGCTGTAAGGAAAAAGCAGGACTTCTCATGTCTAGGGTAGCTCTGAGTTGACCCCCAGGATGAATTTGCACAAATCACTTAACCTGTGTGTTTCTGCAGCCTTTGAGAAACTGGTTCACCTGTTAGCTGAGAAAATTACATTTCTCACTAGAATATTTGAGCCTTAATTTAAGTTTGTAAAGCGCGTTAACATCCTTATCTCGAGTCTATTGCGAGCATAACCTTCTACTCTCATAAAAAAGCAGGGGCCTCAGCTAGTTGTATTAGACAACCAGATACTTGGTGGACGGAAATTTCTCCGCCTTTTTGCACCATGCGTCAAGCGGAGGTCCTGTTACTGCAATCAGCACGGTTTAGCTTCACCTTACAAAACCAAGAATGCATGAGAAACAAACACGTCTGTGGGCCATTCTCTAAAATAGGCTTGCATTTACTAACTCCCTATGGGTCCTTGTGTAGCTGTGTATCCATCTCTTTCTGACAACCACCTGGTATAGAATCCACTTTTTTGAGGTTTCAAAATATACTGCATTATATGTTGAAGACGAGGACTCAGGAACCAATTAATATTGAGCTGTGTTTCCTGAGGCCGACTGCCACATTCAGGTTTTGTCACACCATTGTCATTAATCCCTGGGTCCCTGGTTAAAGATCTAGATTCCTGGGGTACATCCCTAGTTGTTGAGTTCATCATCTTAGTGACTGGCCCTAGAAATCTACCTATTAACAGTCTTCCCCAGGTGATTCTTTGGTGCAGTGATTTTTGAAACCTTCACAATAAAACAGCTATTTGTTTCTATTTCTCTCCCAACCCAAGTAGTGACAAGATATGAATATATCTAAATATCACCTAAGTAGGAAACTGCCTTTTCCACTCCAGCCTTATTTACAATGAGCATCTCAAGGCTTGAGAGCCACACATGTAAGATTCCGAATACACATCAGTTCCAGATTATAGTCAATTGTGCTTGTTTAGCTTTACCTTCCTATCAGCAGACCTAAGAGTCCAAATTTAGATTTGTACGTGCCCATGCACATTTTCCTGCTGTGCCAGCCCTATCACACTGACCCTTATCTTTCCCATTTTTAATTATAATGCATTAAAGTCTATAGCTTAATCTATCAAAAGGGTTATTTCAATAAATATAAAATGAGACATCTCAATGCTAAGGAGACCTTGGATCACAGTTGAATTGGCAGTGTTTTATTTTTTCTTAGTGGGAGATAAAATAATGATGTGTTCAGCATGGGAAGGCATATGAGATTTGATCAAATATCTTCTCATTTGCTGTTTTAAAGATAGAGAAGGAATTAACCTGTTTTTATTTGGTGACGGACTAAGCTAATATTTTTCACGTGTGATCTCATCTAATCCTTATAAAATAAACTTTAACACATGAGGAAATAAAAGCACCAAGAGGTTAAATACCTGAGTCCACAGACCTTGTAAATGCTTCAGGACTCAGTCTATTTGGTTTGTTCCATATATTAGACTACTTCTTTAAGCTTAAAGAAGTAAATATTAGATACTGTGCCTAGTATATGCCAGAGACTATTGTGAGCACATAATGGGATTAACTTGTTTAATTTTAATAATCCCAGGAGGTAGGTACTCCACCTACTTCTATTTTAGAAGTCAGGAAACTGTAGCACAATGAGATCAAGTAGCTTGATCAAAGTGACTTGAGGTGTGGAAACAACAGAATGCAGAAGCCTGGCTTTATGATCCATTACTCTTAGCTGCTATATTATATAGGCTTTATCAGTACAAGTCTTTCCAGAGATTTATGAATTCTCCTGCCACACCCTTCCATGGCCACCTTTATGACTGTATACAAAATCATTGATACAAAGGTAGCAATACAATAACTCTCTTTTAAAAAACTTTTAAGTTCAGGGGTACATGAGCAGGTTACATAAGTAAACTTGTGTCATGGGGGTTTGCTGTATAGATTATTTCACCCCCCAAGTATTAAGCCAAGTACCCAGTAATTATTTTTCCAGATCCTCTCCCTTCTCCCATCCTCCACCCTTATAGCCCCCAGTGTGTGTTGTTCCTCTCTGTGTGTCCATGGGATCTCTTCATTCAGCTCCCATTTATAAGTGAGAACATGCGGTATTCGGTTTTCTGTTCCTGAGTTAGTTTGCTAAGGATAATGGCCTCCAGCTCCATCCATGCTCCTGCAAAGGACATGATCTTATTTGTTCTTATGGCTGCATAGTACTCCATGGTGTGTATGTACCATATTTTCTCTACCCAGTCTATTATTGATGGGCATTTAGGTTGACTCCATGTCTTTGCTATTGTGAATAGTGTTGCAATGAACACACATGTGCACGTGTCTTTGTGGTAGAATGTTTTATATTCCTTTGGGTATACACCCAGTAATGGGATTGCTGGATTGAATGTTATTTCTGAATTTAGGTCTTTGAGGAGTTTCCACACTGTCTTCCACAATGGCTGAAATAATTTACACTCCCACCAACAGTGTAAAAGGATTCCTTTTTAGCCACAACCTTGCCAGCATCTGTTATTTTTTGACTTGTTTAAAATAGCCATTCTGACTGGTGTGAGACAGTATCTCATTAAAGAAATGCAAATCAATACTAAAACTCTTAATTTGCTATTTATGTTTTTTTAAGGAACTTCATAAAGTAGGGGCATGTATGTAAAATTTTCCAAATATATTAATTTTTAGTAAGTATGGGAGGCGTAGGTATAAAACATGCAAAAATGAAAATAGAGTAATGGAGTTAGGTAGTAAAATAGTTTAGCAATTGATTGGTTTGGCTCTGCGTCCCCACCGAAATCTCATCTTGGATTGGACTCCCATAATTCCCATGTGTTGTGGGAGATAATTGAATGACAGGGGCAGTCTCCCCCATACTGTTCTCCTGGTGGTGGATAAGTCTCATGAGATCCGATGGTTTGATAAGGGGTAATCCATTTCACTTGGTTCTCATTCTCTCTCTTGCCACCACCAAGTGAGAAGTGCCTTTCACCTTCCACCATGACTGTGAGGCCTCCCCAGCCATGTGGAACTGTGAGTCCAATAAACCTCTTTCTTTTGGGAATAGACCAGTCTCGGATATGTGTTTATCGGCAGCATGAAAATGAACAAATACACCAGTAGATAAATTATTTTGCTTAATGCTGCTACATTTTCTAAAGCTAGCTAATTACATCTAAAGATAAAAACAAGTCATTACCATTTAGAAAACCCCAATGCTTTAATATAACAGACTTCTAATCGATAAAGCAATAATGTATGATGTATGAAAGTCATACAAACATGAGTGACAAGGACACCAAAACTTATATTGGTTTTCTCTCAAGGATATTGAAATCAAATAGGTGATTCATTTTCAATACAAGCATAGGTGCAGCTAAGACTAATTTAAAACAGCAAAATGTGATTTTTGGGCTAAACACATATTTAATCCATTTTTGTAAGAAAAGCACTGATTTTGCTTGTCATGAAGAAAAAGAAAGGTTCAAACAGTTCTAGAAAATAATCCTGAACAAAATAAATAATTAAGAACTGGTTTACCATTTAAAATTTTATTAATATGGGTTGGTTTGTGAAGGTTTCAAAAACTCTAGAAAATAACAAAATATTTCTGGGTGTTTCACAATACTTAGAGTAAGTCAAAAATGAACCGAAAGGGTTTGCTTATTCAGGCCAAGCATCATGGCTCACTTTGTTGTATAATGTCGTTGTCTCTCATTGACAGTCCTGCGTTTTCGGAGAGAGCACAGCCCTGGGAGAAACATCCCATTGCCTGTTGGATGATAGGGCTGCATTAGACATTTCTTAGTCTGCCAAGCAATACCTCAGCATCAGTTCAAAATGAAAGGGTGTCTGTTAAACAGGAGAGCTGGGGTCATGAGGTTCCACAACAAAGGCTAGAAGGATTTGTGGAGGCCGCTTCCCTTATCAGTGGAGTGATTGGACTGCAGCTTGGATGACACGAAAAAAAAAAAAAAAACCTTGCTTTCTGATTGTTTTCAAAAATTCTATGGAAGGATTTTCTTCTAGGAACAAGGTTTCATTTTGTTTTGTCCCTCTGTCCTGATCATTTCTAAGTTATCTGGATTTAAAAAATTTTAACATTGAGAGAAAGAGAAAGGTGGGGTTTACTTACATTATGAACACTCTCTCATTCACGAACTATATCAGAACCAGAAGACACAGAGAGGGATGGGGGTTTTCCTTCTTTATTTCAGTCAGTACTTGGGCAATTTGAAGGAGGCACAAAAGAGAACAGGGGATCTTAAGCAAGTTTGGTAAGTCCATCTCACAACACCCCACACTCAGAGTCATACTGAATACACAGATTCATCACTCGCTCTCTCAGGTATCAACTTGGAGGGCTGACGTGACCTGCTCTATGAGAGGGAAAGTGAGACACATCTTCCTGCATGGTCCCTACCTGGGAAGATATTGAAAGAGGAAAAGTCACCGGGCACGATGGCTCACGCCTGTAATCTCAGCACTTTGGGAGGCAGAGACGGGCGGATCACGAGGTCAGGAGATCGAGACCATCCTGGCTAACACGGTGAAACCCCGTCTCTACTAAAAAATACAAAAAAAAATTAGCCGGGCATGGTGGCAGGCGCCTGTAGTCCCAACTACTCGGGAGGCTGAGGCGGGAGAATGGCGTGAACCCGGGAGGCAGAGGTTGCAGTGAGCCGAGATCGTGCCACTGCACTCCAGCACTCCAACCTGGTTGACAGAGTGAGACTCTGCCTCAAAAAAAAAAAAAAAAAAAAAAAAAAAAAAAAAAAAAAAAGAAAGAGTCACTATGACATATGGCTTTCTTCCCATTTTCTACTCATTTCTACCCACACAGAAAGGAGATGCTGAGAGAGGGTCTGTATTCAGGTTTTTCCAAATAAGGTCTTCGGCATAGGCTGTATGCATTTCCTTAGATGTCTACTGATTTGTATAAAGAGAGTGTCCTTAATACTTCTTCACCTCTAGGATCCTACTTTTCATCCCTTGAGAAAAGATGAAGCACCATCATGTTCAAACTTGCTTGGAACGCCTGTCAGCTGAGAACATTTATCCCCAGTTGAAATTTTTACCAACCAAACTCTTCAAACAACCTGTCTTCATTTTTGTCTTTCACTTGAGTTAACACCAAATGAAACCATTGCCCTACAGACGGGGCCTGATAAACTGACTCTCACAGAGAGAGGAAGGGCTTCTATGGATTCACAAGTTCCTTCAAATATGTGTCTGGGCTGGGCAGCAAGCCTGCTTCTTCAGTTCCTGATCTTACCATCAATAGTCCCTTAATGGAATGGCAATATTCTTATAATTGGGTGACTTTATTTCTTGCCACTTCTATCCATGGATGTTCAAGCTAGAAAATGGATAATGCTTTCTACTATTAAAATTGATCTTGTATGCTATCGCAGAGCCCAGGTAAATGAGGCTGACCAAAATCAAGCTGTTAACAAATTAACAAAAGAAATCCCAAAATAAGTACATAATCTTAATCCCAATAAATCCAATGGCTTTACTTTTCCAAAGTTGGTGACATACTGAAATGCATCTGCTACTGACAAAAGAAATGGCAAATTCCAAAATGTGGCAACATATAAACGCAAATGTCAAAAACCCCATTATGGTGACATTTCACTCTGACCAGGGAGTAAGAAGTGGATTTCCTGGCAGCCAGGAAGTTCATTTCAATTATTTTGTAGCCACAAAGTTCATCACTCTGATATTGATACACACTGGAAGATCTGCTTGTGAATCCCTCCTTATGTAATAGCAATTATTTTTTTCTAGCAATCCTGACTTCATAAAGTAATAATATCTAAGTATTAAAATTAAATTTCTCTTTCTCTTTCATCATACATATATATGTATGTATATATACATACATATATATATATATACATACATATATATATATATACATACATATATATATATACATACATATATATATATATATATACATACATATATATATATATATATATACATACATATATATATATATACATACATATATATATATATATATATATATATACGCACACGCAAACATAGGCACATAGAGCTTTTATCCCCCTAGCTACAAATAACAGTAATTTGCGACGATTCTACCAGGTTGCATCTTAAACATGTATATCTCCTTCTCATTTTTACTTCCAGGAATCATAACATGATTTATATTTAATTATAATATAGTTGTGAACTACTATATATTTTAAAAATATTTCTTCCTTTATATTAGTTTTAGATTTTAAAAATTAGTGATGTTTATATTGTACATTTTTATCTGTTTAGTAATATTTTTGAAGTAAGCATAACAGAAGCTTATCAATGCATATATAAGAAGTCCATCTTTCTGAAACTTTATTTATATAAATACGACTCAGTGACCTAAACACTGTGACATACATATAGATGGGGAAACTGAAGTTTGGCCACTTTGAATTAAGCAAAAGTGAAATACAAAGAAAAATGTACAAAGAGGGTTCCCCTTCATGGAAGAAAGCCACTGCCTGATACGAAGAACCTGAGTGATAAACGATCCTGAAAACTGCCTCTGCTCTGCTGCAAAGGTGCCTGCAAAAGTTCCACTTGGCTATTGTTATTAATTACACATCAAGCTCACAATGTTGCACCTAAGATAAAAAGCAAGAAGAAGGGGGAATTAGAATTTAATTAAAGCTTGTCAAGCAGGCAGGGTCCTAAATGGTAGCTCACAGAGAGAGATGCACAGCTGACGGCTACACACGCCTTCCACATCGAGGTGCTGAGGCTAAACAAAGTTCCACTGAAGAGAATTGTAATATCTTTCCGCTTTCTAATTAAGTTGGAGAATTTTTTTTCTTTTTGCCATCTTAGCCTCAAGGAAGAATACCAGATCATATAAGGCACTATTTCAAGCAATGTGTAATAATGATGAAGTTTCTTTCTTTTTTATTATTATTATTATACTTTAAGTTTTAGGGTACATGTGCACAATGTGCCGGTTTGTTACATATGTATACATGTGCCATGCCGGTGCGGTGCACCCATTAACTCGTCATTTAGCATTAGGTATATCTCCTAATGCTATCCCTCCCCTCTCCCCACAACAGTCCCCAGAGTGTGATGTTCCCCTTCCTGTGTCCATGCGTTCTCATTGTTCAGTTCCCATCTATGAGTGAGAACATGCAGTGTTTGGTTTTTCGTTCTTGCGATACATTACTGAGAATGCTGATTTCCAATTTCATCCATGTCCCTACAAAGGACATGAAGTCATCATATTTTATGGCTGCATAGTATTCCATGGTGTACATGTGCCACATTTTCTTAATCCAGTCTATCATTGTTGGACATTTGGGTTGGTTCCAAGTCTTTGCTATTGTGAAGTTTCAAAATTAAAGTAGAAATAAGGCACACCCTTGATTTTGTTTCAAAAAAAGGATTTTTCTGTAAAATAATTAAGTCCATTTAAAAAATTTTGCCAAAATGCCTGTTTAGAGGATATAAAAATAAAGTGTACTCAGTCTAACTGCCTTAATCGTCTAAAGAAAATGTCCTAAATATACTTACAAAAATTAATTAACTTAGGCAAGAGAGAGATAACAAGGGCTAAACATGTCTTTATTTCCATTTATCTGTAAAACCAGACACTTAAGATTGGGAGGGATTAAATAGACAAATGAAAATCAAATGAATGATATGAAACCCTGTGTCGTAGACTGAATGTTTGCGTCCCTCCGAAATGTATATGTGAAAATCCTACCCATTAAGGTGATGCTATTATGAGATGGGGCTTTCTGGAGGTGAGTAGGTCATGAGGATGGAGCCCTTGTCTCTTTCTGTCTCTGCCATGTGAGGACACAGCTAGAAGGCACCATCTATAAATAAGAAAGCAGGGTCTCCCCAGACATCGAATTTGCTGGCACCTTGATCTTCGACTTACAGCTTCCAGAACTGTGAGAAATAAGTTTATGTTGTTTATAATCCAACAACTTAATGGTATTTTGTTACAGCAGCTCAAAATGAATAAGACTCCCTGGGAGCTGAAATGCCCTGAAAGACCTCTACTTCATATAACCACAGGAGTAGTTAACATGTGTAAAGTGCTTATGATATCCAAGTGTATTCTGAACACTTGACATATAGAAACTTGTTTAATCCTCACAATAACCTGTGGGGGGCTTGATCTCGTTGCCTCTGTTTTACAGAGGGCAGAGGTGAAGTAGTATGCTCAAATGAATATTCACAAAATAAACTAGTGGTGACAGTAGTCACCCTACTCTGAATCAAACATTGGATTTCTACAATGTTTTTAAACTGGTGGAGTCGGCAGCAGAGCCCCAAAAATTTATCTCCAGATTTGCTGCTTTCAATTCCTGTGCTTTAACACATCCAATCTATAGCAAAATACTCCCTTACATCCTCTAAAAAGGAACACCAAAGAATTACATAATCATGGCGGTGGGGGGGGTGAAAAGTGTGGATATGTGGCATCTGTCAGCATCCCCAGCACCAAATGGGCCCTCAGAAGTCAGCTATGACCCGCGTCCTGCGTATCCAAAAAGGAAATACTCTATGTCCATATTTCCTCTCTGCAAAGAGATCGCCAGTTCCTTCCTGATTCCCCTGTCCTTATGATAAAACGACAGAAATCCTTTCCTGCAGAATGTGCATGCCTTCAGCAATTACTAAACATTTTTTTATTTTTGAGACTGAGTCTTGCTCTTTCACCCAGGCTGAAGTGCAGTGGCGCGATCTTGGCTCACTGCACGTCCGCCTCCCAGCTTCAAGCAATTCCCCTGTCTCAGCCTCCTGAGTAGCTGGGAATACAGGTGCGTGCCACCACACACAGCTAATTTTTTGTATTTTTAGTAGAGACGGGGTTTCACCATGTCGGCCAGGCTGGTCTCAAACTCCTGACCTCAGGTGATCTACCTGCCTCGGCCTCCCAAAATGCTGGGATAACAGGCGTGACACACTGCACCCAGTCTACTAAATACTTCTTACATATTTTCTACTTAAGGTGCCCTCCTTTTTCTAAGAATAAGCAAGGAGCTGCAGAAAGTTCTGGGAAAATGTCTCAAAGATTCAATGCATAAGGAAAAACTTATTTGAGTATTTTGCTGTTGTTTGCTTACACACATCCATGTATATTTCACATGCAATCCCCACCAAAACATTTACCATTCTTCAAAGTGATGCTCAAAGTCTTTTTATATGTTCAAAAACTATAAAATGGGTGCTGAGGGGAACACCATATGCCCCACCAGAAACGAGAGGTGGTTGGAATATGTAAAGAATTACTCTCAATGATTGTGTGGCAGACAGGCTATGAAGGTGCCACCCTCCCCATCCCTGCCTTCTGGAGTCATACCTTCTCTTTAGTGTGGCATGGCCTGTGACTTGCTTCTGGTCAACAAGGAGCTAAGGTGACGGCATGCGTGTGAGCACCTATGTTTGATCTGGCAGGTGAGATTGCAGCACCCTCCCTGCTCACACCCTGGCTGGCAGGGAAGAAGCAGCTGCCGCGGTGTGAGATGTTTGCCATGAAAAGCAGATCCTTCTTTAGTAAAGCCTGAGAGGAGAACATAGTCAGGCTGCCACCTGACTTGCAGCCTTGTGAGGTCGTAAGCAGGGTGCCCAGCCATGCCTTGCCCAGACTACGACCCACAGACACCGTGAGATCATTCATTCATGCTGCTTTAAGCCACTATGTCTGTGATCGTCATTAAGTAGCAACAGGAAGTGAATGCCAATTGCCTTTGCCACAAAATTGTTGTCTGTCTTTCCAGGTCAATTTACGATACTCAGGTACCAATTTTTTTTTTTTTTTTTTTTCAGACCGAGTCTTGCTCTGTCACCAGGCTAGAGTGCAGTGGCAGGATCTTGGCTAACTGCAACCTCTGCCTCCTGAGTTCAAGTGATTCTCCTGCTTCAGCCTCTCAGGTAGCTGGGATTACAGGTGCCCGCCACTGCAGCCAGCTAATTTTGTGTATTCTTAGTAGAGACAGGGTTTCACCATCTTGGCCAGGTTGATCTTGAACTGCTGACCTCGTGATCCACTCTCTTCGGCCTCCCAAAGTGCTGGGATTACAGGCATGAGCCACCATATCCAGCCCAGATATCTTGTAAGTGCAACCATTGCTTAATGTCCCCTAACTTAGTTTCTAAGGAATAAAATGTGTATTTCACATCTGTCCTATCTACTATTGGTTTTAACTTTTAGTTTTTTAATGACAACTGATTAATTACTTTAACAATTTAAATTACATATTTATTCATCACATTTTTTAAACACCAGCCACGTTCCATGAACTGTCATAGATGCTAAGGATATGAGATGCAGAATTCTTCTCATCAAGGAGATCACAAACAAGAGAAAGAAACAAAGACTGAAATCAGGAGAGGGAAAAATGCCCATTTGACCCATGCTCAGAATGGTCTTAATATACAGAAGAGACAAATAAGAGACTCTTAACTTCAGGTGCATGGGAGACAACAGAGGCCAGAAGCCAGGATAACCCAGGGTCAGATTGTGCACTAGCTCCACTAGGTCGGGCATATTAATTCAGTTCTAGGTGTTTCTGTTTTCTCACAAATAAAGTCGGAAACACATTATCCTCTTGCTTATAGTGTTACAGGACGTGATTTAATACACACAAAGCACAGCAGTGGTTTCTAGGACTATAACTTATCACAGGAGTGGATAAGGGAGAGTTTTAGAAGAAACAAGAGAACTGTTATGTGAACCACAGGGAGGAGTTCACAGGCTCACAGTGTATTGAGGCTAGGGACATGTAGGCAGCTCCTATGGTACCTGGCTGTGGTGAGGCGGTCGCCTGCCAGGACCTAATAAGACATGAGCTATTAATGGGTACTAGGCTTAATATGCGGGCAATGAAATAATCTCTACAACAAACCCCCAAGACACAGGTTTACCTATGTAACAATCTGTACATGTACTGCTGAACTTAAAATACAAGTTAAAATAAATAGATACAACTTCAATACTAAAAAGAAGAAAGAAATGAATTTAGAGAGACCATCACGGAAGATCCCAAGAGGAGATGCCTGACGTGCCAAGGAGTGCAGCCTTATCTGGAAGGGGACAAGTCTGGGCGCACGTGTCCAGGATTTTCTAGCAACATCCATTATAGCGATCAGCCCTGGGTTTGCAATACAGTTAACCTTACGCCCTAGCTGTGATAAGGTCAGCAAAACTGCCTGTGAAAGGATATGTTAAACAGCTATGGACTTTTGTTGGTGTATCATTTTGGTAACTTCACCTCCTTCCTCCCACATTTCATAGTCTGTCTCCTGGAAAATGATTTTGCAATGTTTAAAAAAAGTGGGCAAAAGGTCTGAACAGACACCTCATGAAAAAAGATACAAGGAGAGTAAATAAGCATATGAAAAGATGCTCAACCTCATGTCCTTAGAACATGAGACACCACTACACACCAATGAAGAATCGCTAAAATCCAGAATGGCAACACAACCAAATGCTGTTGAGGTTGTGGGGCAACAGGAAGGCTCACTCACTGCTGGTGGGAACGCAGAATGGTAGAGTCACGTTGGCAGACAAGTGGCAGTTTCTTACAAAGCTAAACACAGTCTTACTGTACGATCCAGCAACTGTCCTCTTTGGTCTTTATGTAAATGAGTTGAAAAGTTATGTTCACACAAAATCTTTACAAAATATTTATAGCAGCTTTATTCATAATTGCCAAAAATTGGAAGTAACCAAGACATTCATTAATAGATGAATGGATAAACTATGGTACATCCACATAGTGGAATATTATTCAGCAAAAAAAAAAGAAAAAAAAAGAAACGACCTGTCAAGACACAAAAAGACATGAAGAAAATATGGTTTCCTTATTATTCTTTTTAGATACAGGGTCTTACGCTATTGTCCACGCTAGAGCACAGGAGTGCGATCATAGTTCACTACAGCCTCTGACTTCAAGGGATCTGCCCACCTCAGCCTCCTGAGCAGCTGGTACTACAGGCATATGTGAGCATGCTCAGCTAACGATTTAATGTTTTGTCTACACGGGATCTTCTTATGTTGCCCAGGATGGTCTCAAACTCCTCGCCTCAGGTGATCCAAGGAGAAAATTTAAACACATATTACTAAGTGAAAGAAGGCAGTCTGTAGGATGCCAAATATCTGACATTCTGGAAAAGGCAAAACTACGGAAGGTGAACTCAAATTATATTTTACATCACAAGTAAACATGAGCTTAGATTCCTCAGTATATATAAAGTTGATTTCTTTTAAACCACATCTGATCATTATAATATTTCTCACATGATTTGCTCTAGTTTTTAGAAGTGAAAACAATATAATCGTTTTCAGTAAAGGGATTAAATATTTTGGTTTAATTATGTCCATGAAGCACTAGTGCCGCCTTTGGATTTATATTTGATCAAAATATGTAGACAACTGAAGGTAAAAGGATTTTTGAGAATGAGTCGTCACATGTAGACCCATGGAAACTGACCATGGGCACAGGTAACACCCAAGCAACTCTATGGGACACAAATCTCTTTCCATACAGTTCTTGATCCTTATTCAGAGCACACAGTAATTTACTCCAGATGCTGCTTCTCATGCATACTTTGTTATACAGAACATGCTTGAAAAATACATTTTTCATTTAACATGGGCCTGTGCTATCAATTAGATGGAAGAAACTGTCACAGGCAGTGAAAACTCTTATTAAAAATTGATTTGAGTCTAGTTAAGTCTCAACACCCAATTCCGATCTGAAGATCAAGGTTGTGTCAGAATAAAGGCCAAAAGAAAAAAGATCAATATTAAATATTTCAGTTCTGAGGTTAATACATTTGCTTATAAAAGTATACTGAACCATCTGTATTCTGGAAGACCTGCTCTGGTACCGTAAGAAGACTAGATTTTTTTTTAAAGGCAGCAATAGTATTCTTCACCTTAAGACAGTAAGCGTTATATACCTACATTGGAAGCACAAAAATATATTAGGTAAAATAATTTAAGATTGTCTTAACAAATAATTGTCATTCTTCCTAAAAGTTAATTTTAAAATCCTAAGAGAGAGAGAGTTTGTGCGTGTGTGTGTATGTTCACTCTTAACTAGGCACCTAAATGATGGTTGTTAGTTTGGTAAAGGATTACTACTGATACAAACACATTCTAAAGCTACTGATGGTCGGGACTGGTGGTTCACGCCTGTAATGCCAACACTTTGGGAGGCTGAGGCAAGAGGATTGCTTGAGTCCAGGAGTTCAAGAACACCCTGGGTAACATATTGGGATCCCATCTCTACGAAAACATTTTTAAAACATTAGCCAGGCAATGGGGCATGCACCTGTAGTCCCGGCTACTAGCTGAGGTGGGGAGATTGCTTGAGGCCAGGAATTTGATGCTGGAGTGAGCTATGAGCGTGCCAATGTACTCCAGATCGAGTGAGAGAGTGCAACTCTACCTCAAAAGAATATCTTAAAATATCAAAAACAAAAACCTAATAATTCAACATTTAAAAATAATTTAAATAGAATCAACTCTATCCCTAAGAATAGTATTTACTAAGCTGAGGAGGAGCCACTAGAGGACATCATTCACAGCAGGACACAGTTTTTATTTAGTTCCAGCCATGACTGACCTCATATAAAGAAGCAAAGACCAAGAAATTAAAATGATAGACACTAACAACTGACTTGAATTTTTAAAAATTGGTTAAAAAGGTCAACTTGGTTCTACTGATTAACTTCAAATGCCTTAAGCATGTACACATAGATATAGGAGAAGACCTCAGAGGCCCTGGGGGAAGGAACATGAATGGTATTCTTGGGTCCCATCCTATCTAGTGGACAACACAAGGCTTCCAAAGGGAGGTGTAGAAAAATGAAGAGAGTTAGAGTAGAGAAAACTGGGGTAAGATATTGTTGTTTCAAAAACCAATATTCCTGTCAGCCACATAAATGTTAAGAAACCAGCTCTATCTTCCTTACCAAAAACAGATTTCCATGTAAACTGAACAAACGTAAAGGAAGAATGTCATTTACTTTCTTCTTATAACTTTCATAGACAAAACATGTAGGTTAGTAGTTATTTTCATGGCCATGGTAAATTGCAATTGCTCAGTGACATTTGAGACTTACTAAAGTGAAATATGAATAGATTTTCTATTTTAATATTCACAAGTCAGTTTCCCTACAATTAGTTTATCGCATATATTGCTTGAAAACATTATTATACTTTCATGTGAAGACAATTCTATCCAAGTTTTACGTTTATTTTACAACAATAAATTGCTTCTATCTAATAAACATTATTGGAGATTTATCTGGGCTATGGATTAAAAATAATGCAAGTCAATAAAACTTCACAAATTACACTAACTATGGGTTTTAAAAGAAAGTTCGCTTCATCCACATTTTTGTTACTTGGCATCTTCATCACCATTCCTGCCATTAAAAAAAAAGAAGCCTTTGAATTCCAGTCAGTTGGGTTAAGTATGCAAAAATGGCTGCATAGATTGTCTTGTTGATTACCTATTCTCTATCATGATTATATCTTTCTATAATTTTGTGGAAAATAGACTAGGAAAGAGAATAAACTTAGAAAATAGAGTCAGGGTAGGTAGCAATTCTACCTGAAACATGGAAACAAAAGCTTAAAATTCTCATTGTTAGGACAAATTGAAAGAAGAAAAAATACGCAGTGATATACATAATTAAAAGGCAGCAGAAAAAAACAGTGGAGAAAATAAAGAAAAGAAGTACTAAAGAGGGAGAAAATAAATAAAAGCAACAAGAGATCACTTAGAACGTGGCAGAAAAGCACTAGGGACAGGGAGACAAGGAAAGAAACCAGATTCACTATTCACCCTGCTTCTAAAACACATGGACAACAGGCAGCATTATTATAAACAAGTGAGGTAGGAACCGGGACTTCCATTATACTTAGCATTACCCAGAATTTCATGAGAAATCCTGGGATTTTTATAAAAGGATTAATAATGGGAAACTACCTGAAAACTATAAATTGCTGTCATAAAAATGTGACTAATACAAAATGATTTCTCAGCTGGGCACGGTGGCTCACGCCTGTAATCCCAGCACTTTGGGAGGCTGAGGCGGGCGGATCACGAAGTCAAGGGTTCGAGACTAGCATGGCCAACGTGGTGAAACCCCATCTCTACTAAAAATACAGAAAATTAGCTAGGCCTGGTGACGTGTGCCTGTAATCCCACCTACTCGGGAGGCTGAAGTAGGAGAATTGCTTGAACTCAGGAGGCAGAAGTTGCAGTGAGCCAGTATCTCGCCACTGCACTCTAGCCTGGGTGACAGAGCAAGACTCCATCTCAGAAAAAAAGAAAAAAAAGAATTGCTTTTTAGGGCACAAATATTAAAATGTATGCTGCAGACCTTGTGGAAGAATAGATGAGATAAAAATGTAAGTAAAATACTATCAAATTATCTGGCCCAAGAAAGGTTAGCTTCCCTCCTTATAGGAGAGTTATATTGTTGATTTGGTGAGATCTCCACTAAATATTTTAACATTCAAATATACTTTCTTAATAGCCCATTCTAGCTAACATTTGTCATAGCCTCTTTATCAACAAATATTAGAATTATTAATGTAAGTGGATTTCATTTAATTTTTCTGTGTTTTTTGCTCCATCTTACCCTCCTAACCCCAGGTTAGGATAAATTCTATATGGCAAATGACAAGAACCAAAGGTCTAAGTACTCCAAAGTGCAAATAGTCTGGCCTTCAGCAACTGCGACTCGTGTAATTCCTACAGAGATACTTAATGTGGTCTTAATTGGCACTGTTTTCTTTTTCTTTTGTTCCACTTAAATGATGCCAATCAAATTTTGGCATACATGAGCTAAGTTAAAGAAAAGTAGCAATGCCTAGTTTTGTCGACTCGCAATTCCTTTGAAACCATACTATGAAGAGAAAATTTAAATTCCATGTTTATCCTGCTCATTTTCACTTTTGCAAAGAGAAAAAAACAACCTGAGTTTTGCTATCTGTGCACCACAGCAGTCCGTGGCTGGGATAAGGTGGATTGAAGTGTGAACAATGGTTCAGGATCAAAGGACTCCTTAGGTTCTGCTCAGACTGCCTCCAGTGATCAGCAGCGCAGGAGTCCATCCTGACAGGGGGCTGGAGAGAGCTGATGAGATTCATGTGCCATCTCAGAAAGAAAACATAAAAGCCTGGACATTCTATGGAAGGCAAGCCAAGAGAACGTGGAATCTCCGTTTGCGGAACTTGTAAGTCGGGTAATATACCAGGGAGTATGTTAACACGGCTGAATGACCTCTGTTTTGAACTTCGCCTCGCCTCCTGCCTTCTCTCTGCTCCTTGTGGCTCTCTTGTTATTGTTATTCCTGGTTTGTTCCTCCTCTCCCTGTCTCATAGCTCCTTTTGGTCTCCCCCTCCCTTTATCCTGCCACTCTGACAAAGCAGGCACAGCACTTGCATTCAATCATCAGCTGAAAATGAGTAAAAAGCTACTTGCCTGGAACAAAGCTGGGAGTAATTTTGAAAGCATTTCCTTAGAGCTGAGACATCCTGAGACATGGACTTTTGATGGGTAATCAAGGTTTAGAAAAATGAGTTCACAGAAGGTTTACAATATCAGGACAGATCTTTCCCAGGCTTTCCAGACCATTTAATGCTTGTTTTGTGAATCAAAGAGCGCAGGCACAGAGGCTGGAGGAAGCAAACTAATAGCTTACAAAGCTACAAAACGAAAGGGAGACAATAAGGCTTGAAAAGAAACACTTACAAAAATAAAATAAAATACCCATTTCCTCTCTGTCTCTTTCTCCTGCTTCTGTGAGTACTGCTAGACAGACGCCATCGACATTTCAGCAGCAGTGACATCCCAGACAGCTTGTCTATAGCCCTTGACTCAGTTTTTTGGTATTTCTTTTAGTAGAATATTCCAGAGCATGTGGTCTTTTACCTTTCCTTGGCCTCCAGACTGTGCTACTCCTGGATGATCACTTCCTCTAAACTCATCTTCATCATGATGTTGAATATCATTACTTCTTTGCAACCCAAAGCAAGGAATTTTGAAACGATTATCTCTCACTTGACAAAGTAAATCTATTTATATAGCCACTGGCCTGGCACTACAAAAAAATCAAGTTCTTAATAAATGCTGTCAATGATTGTATTTTGGGGGGAAATATTAACCGCTTTTCAATTTATGCATAACCTTTCCAGGCCCAATTGTGTTTCACAGTTATAACCTGTCATCTCTCTTTAGTCTCCTTTCCCAAATCCAGCTTGTTCTGTATATAGTAGCTCCACTGAGGAGCAGGGAGGAAAGACGGATGAGTGGAGTACACATGGTGGATGCTGCCATTTAGGCAAAGGCAGGCATTTAAGTAAAGACAGGTAAGAATGGGAACTCGTGCCCCAGTGAGGAAATTACCATACTCCAATTAAAGGGAAGGCAGAGCATAAATAGTGTGCAAGCTAAAAATACACAACTCCTTTCAGCACAAAGCTCCCCGAAACAATTCTGCAAGAAATATGTGTAAGGTCTGAAGCTTAGCAGAAAGATTGGTAGCAAGCACAGCTGTCCAGAATCAACGGTAGAAAAATAATTTCTTTTTCTTTGGTGCAGTCGTAGAAATGCTCAGGCATCCTGTTGGCGTTTGAATGCATGGTGCCTTCAAGAAGCTCACGGACACAGACCTGCAACTGCCCGTGGGGTTTCCTAAAGACACAACAGGAGCGACGTCTGCGTGTAAAATGACAAGTACAGTAAACGTCCCGCAGCCCCAGGCTTCATTGTCATCTGCTGGAAGTGTCCTCCATGTGTGTGAGATACCCTGCTTATACATCTATTTTAGTCCTCAAACATGGAAATAATCCACTTTGTCCTTTGTGGGACTTAAAGTAACCTAATCGGGGAGGGACACGCAGTTATCTTTCTACTGTTAATGCTAACCCAATGCTTAGCAGACGGGGTTGAACGATGATTGTTGGCTGACTCAACTCTTGCTTAGCTTCCATCAAAGTACAAACTACTTGTTTCCAAGGTTATTTGTGAGTGAGGTTGATTTCTATTTTATTTAACTATTTAGACACACACACGTTAACTTATTTCTTATGTATTTATATAATCTTATATAGCATGTGCATATTTTTGTATATATTTCTAAATCAGTTCATAATATTAATGCATGCTTCAGAGGCATTTACTTAATTTTTAATTTTTTAAAATGAATTTTAGTTCAAACTTTTAATTTTAAAATTGATTTAAATCACTAAATTAAATTGAATTTTAGGGAGGGATAGGAGAAAATGTCCAGACTCGTACTGAAACTTGCAGAAAGATGATTCAATTATAAAATAGTTCATTCAAAATAGTGTTGTCAAGGTAAAATAAAGTTACTTCTTTCTAATTTTATCTGCAAAGAGGGAGCTCATGTTTATCGAGTACCTACTTTGTGGTTCCAGACAGTTAGCTAAGCCCTCTGAATGCATCAACTGTAATCTCTAAAAGTAGTCAACCTTCATTTTATAGAAGAGGATGTTGGCCAAGCTAACAGAGTTATTACCGAGATTCCCCCTGGAGACTTGGCAGCTAAGGGTAATTGTCTTTGGTTTCTATGCTTACTACACCCCAGAAGTCAAAATAATAGCAATGAAGATGAAAATGATTTAGATCACAGGGCTCAACATTACATACACATGGCCAGTGGTTCTATACAAACTGTAAAGCTAAATTCCTTAGAATTAAAAAAAAGTAATTGAAACATTTTCTAATTAATTACCCAGGCATAGAAATATCTAGTACAGATCTCTTAAGAATACAGCACTGATGAAAGTGCTAAAGGACACAGAAATGAAATGTTAAAATGCAGTCATTTCTGTTTAGGGATTTAAACCAAGATAAAGAAACAAAACCAACAGGAAGATGCCATCAAAGGAAAGCAAGACAGAAAATTGAGGAGCCTCAGAAAGACTTCACAAACAAGGTGAGTCTTAAATAAATCTTGGGATTCTGGATAAGCACAGGAAAGAAGAAAGCAGCCCAGGTAAAAGACGTCATGAAAAACGCTTGGGATTAAGAACCAGGGAGATGCCCATATGGGGAAGTGTGAGCTCTTCCTGGTACAATACAAGCAGGCAAGTCTGCAGAGAGGGGTCAGGTTCTTATTACTTTATTGAGGCATGCACACATCTGACAGACGAAACTGCTCTTCCACAAAGAGTGATTCTGAAGGTCCTGCTTGGTAAATTGCAAGAACCAGCAAGACTTTCAAGGAGTTACTTTATCAACTAGTTTAAACAAGGTGGATAAGCGATAACATATAAGAGGGCAATAATAAAACAAAGATATTAATTCTGTAAAAGGTCAACAGTGGAATACATTATTACTTCATTATATTTATCGCCCCTGCGAGTAGGTATGTTATAAATATCAGATTTTAGTGAATAACTTTAATAAATGCATTTGAAGTTAAAGTGAAGTTGATATGGGCATTGACAAGAATATTAGAAAAATAAGAAAGTTAGTAAAGGTGAAGAGAGGGAAGGAAGGGAAGTAAATTTGCATACAAGAGCTATACTGAGATCTTTAAAGTAAATGTATTTGTTAAGCAGGTAAATGGAAAATATCAAGGGAAAGTAATGGTTAGTATTGTATTCATTGCCACAGATGTGATGGCTGAGATGTGAGAATAAATTATCTAGGGTAGTATGCATGGAAAGAAAAAAAGCAGATATCTATGAACTAAATCCCAGAGGACATCCACAAGAGAGAAAGAAGCGGGAGAAGTTGTAGGAGGTGAAAAGTATAAAGAGGCTGGGAGAATACAATGTGTCTGAAGAGAAGTTATACTAGGTGAAAAGGTATAAAGAGGCTGGGAGAATACAATGTCTCTGAAGAGGAGAAGTTATACGAGGTGAAAAGTATAAAGAGGCTGGGAGAATACAATGTCTCTGAAGAGGATGGAACTCCAGGGAGAGGTTGGCTTAGTGAATATAAACATCATGTAAGAGAGATCATAGAAATGGATCGTCAGCGAGTGTCAATTATGCCAATTTTTGTGCATAGGTTACCAGGGATATTCTGTAACCACCACACAGTAGAATCACTAAACATATAATAATAAATTGAGACAAATGTGTTCATATATCACAGCCCGAAAAAATAATGAACTATTACTGTAGACAAAAACTTGCGTAGATCGTGTAAACAAACTATTGAACAAAACACCAGAAACAAGAGAATACGGAGTATGACTCCTTTTGTGTAAATTGAAGCATTTAAGATGAAGGAATCTACAGAGTTTATCTTGGGTGCCACAGACTGTTACTAAAAAGAAGAACAGGATAGCTGTTCTAATGGCATTCGGGGAACTGGTTGTTTTTGAGCGGGAGAGAGGGACGAAAGTGAGAGGTGTTAGTAAATGTTCTAGCTCTGGACACTGTGGGAGTGGTGGAGGTTTTCCTCTTGCGATAAAGAATTGAGCTGTAAATTTTACTTTTGGCCAGTTTCTGAATGTGTGTTATGTTTGGCAATTTTAAACAGGTTTCTAAAAAGGAGGCATGTTGACTTACGGAAAACATGGGTAGAGGTCCATTGCCTGGAGGATTTCTATTTATCTGTCTCTGGCGTAACCTTATTCCACGTTCTCTGCACTAAACAAAGGTGTTTGTATAACCAGTGATCTTTTACAACTTGAGAACGAGTACCCTTGTTTTTGACCCTTTGATTTGTATGCACCAAGAGGTTGATGATGTCCAAATGGAAGTTATTATTATTTGTTTGGGAGTAACTACCTTGGGTTATGACATCTGAGACAGTGGGCCAAAAAAGATATAATAACAACAACAAAATAAAAAGGGACAACCATGAAGAAAAGGAGTATCATGACACATAATGATATCTCACATATATGTGTATATGTTTATGTGTATGCATATATATGTATGTGTATATATACACATATATATTAATATCCTCTATAACATTGCTGGGCCAGAGATAGAATTTACTGCTAGATAGTTTATTCATATTGTGATCCCCGAACAGGATGCTTAAAAACATGAATGATTGTTTTGTCTTAATGTAAGATTAACGGTCATCATCTCATTTAAGGTATTCTTTTTATTTTTATTAGGCATCATTTAAACAACTATTTTAGGCAATAGAACGTAGAGCAAAGGGAAGACTTTGAAGAAGTCGAGGTGGATATTTCAAGAATACTTTTCTCATGTCAACATAAACTCTCTTAAATGTTTCACGTGTTCTCCTCATCTGCAGTTTCACTTTCTGTGGTTTCAGTTACCTAAGGTCAACTGTGGTCCACTGAGGTCTGAAAACATTAAATGAAAAATTTCAGAAATAAATAATGTATAAGTTTTAAATTGCTAGCTGTTCTGACTAGCGCCATCCCACTCCATCCCAGCCAGGACATGAATCATTCCTTTGTCCAGTGGATTCACACTATCTACATTAGTCACTTAGTAGCCATATGGCTTTTCAGACTCATGGTTGCAGTAGTGCAGCATTTGTGTTCAAGTTGTCGTTATTTGACTTTATAACATGCAAGCGTAGTGGGCCTTATTTATAAATGAACCTTTATCAGAGGTATGTCTGTATAGGAAAAAACATGCTACATGCAGGCTTTGGTGCTGTCAAAGGTATGAGGAATCTACTGGGGGTTTTGGAACATACCCCCCTAGAATAAGGGAGAGAACTGTATTTAGAGGTGTAACTGAAATGCATTTTAATAATGGGCATGCAAGACTCAGGCTCTAACCTTTGCAGTCTGAAGTTAAGAATAACAATTATGTCCACAAACAAGTTAAAAAATTATTTCTACATATGTTACCTACAAACCTACAAGCCTACCAATCTCTAAATTTCTAATTATGGGTTATATATGATAAAAATAACTTCATGATTACTCCTAAAACAGTAATCATTCTTATGAACAGAAACATTTTTTTTTTACTATTGCAGTAGAATGAGCAGAACGTAGAACTAGAAAGTTCTGGGTGCACATTCTTGCACTCGCATATCATTTTAGATTCTCCGAGGCTCAGTCTTTACAGTAATACGAGGACAAATGCATAGATACAATGGCAATTCTATAAAGTCCCTACTGCAGTCTCTGGCATATAATAATTGCTCAAAACAAAAAAGACAGAGAGAACAAATTCTTTCCCACCCTTTGTCAGTGATTATAGCTGACGAAATAGTAATATTTCTCCAACAACAGTCATTACCAAATTCTGAGGGCCATGACCACGTCATTCCATGCAAACACACATTAAACCCCATAAGTGCTCTACATTATGTTATTTCAGACAAAAAACTTGTTTAACCATTGCCACTCCTCATTTTAAAAAAGGACTCTATATATCCTGAAATCTCGCATTTACTTTTATTAATTTTTAACTATAGCATTTCTTGTTGAGTTTTCTTTTCTCTTTGACTTTAGTTTCAGCCTCATCAGTATATTAACAGCAGATCTTTGCTTTTATTTGTGTATGATGGTTGTAGACAGTACATTCCACAAGAGCATGACCAATCTGTTGGACTCACCAGTAAATCCCCAGTGTGTATGACGGTGTGCTGCCCATAGTAGGTACTCAGTTTTTCTTTTGAAAGAAAAAGTTTGATTGAAAAACAGATCAACCAATTCCTTCTGGTGTCTTTTAAATTATATGTCTGTTTGGTCTCTCTGTCTCTAAATGGTATAAGAGATTAAACAGCCTGAAAATCAATATTTTCTGGCACAGGAAATAAAAAAAGCTATCATAATTGAAACGTTTATGAAAATACCTTTTACTTAAAGAACTATAGTTCTGTAAAGGTGCATAAATGAACAAGAACTGTGAATTTGAATCTTAGAGAACTATGTGTAATGGATATGCTTTTTTTACGTGAAGTGTGCTTTTAATATATAGTCTCTCTTATCATCCGTCTAAGCCAGGTAATTCCTCTTGTACTGTAAAAGTCTACAGCGTCATAGTGTCTATGATCATTGCACTTTGCCATGGCAGCCTGCTTGACATTTATGATAAGAAGGTGTTGAAGTATTTGCTGTCATTCATTCAATAACTATTGAGTGACTACCATTTAACATTTTTTATGCCTACCATCATACTCAACTTTTGCTCAACTGTTTTGAATGTATCAGCTAATAAAATAAGTCGAGAAAATACATTTATATTCGCAATATGTTTCCAAATAAATTTAGAAAAAGATACTTACCTATACATATTATTATATTCTTAGAAAATCCAAGCACTCACACCTGAGACACCGTTAAATCCAATAAATGATTTTGTCAAATGGATTGGTATATGATAAACATATAAAAATAAAAATAACTGCATTGACCCAGCCAGCTTGAGTAATGATCATCACTGCAACCGAGGCCCAACACATGATTTTTTGCTAACTTGGCCTGATGCATTAACCTGGACTCGTCTAATGAACAAGTGGGAGCTGGAAATTAGGGGACAGAAATGGGGAGATTCGGGAAGCTGGTCTGTCCTATGTCTCGGGAACTATCAGGCACTGTGACAATGTGAATTATTGTCATCACCTATGTGCGGCTTTTAAAAGGCATTTTTCTCAGAGAATATTCTTGATGGAATCACTGGTAAACAAGAGATTTTCCTCTCCTACCTGATTCTGCTTCAAAATTAAACCGAGGTCTGTAATGGAATCATCACATAATCCAGCAACACTACTTGCATATTCAAAAAAAAAAAAAAAGAAAAAAAAAGGAAATCAGGATGTCAAAGAGGTTATCTGTGTTCTCATGTTCATTGCTGTGTAATTCAAAACAGTGGAGGTACAGAAAAAATCCTACTATGTCCACTGATTGATGGATAAAGAAAATGTGGTGTATATATAGCCCATGGAGGATTACTCTTCACTCTTCAAAAGGGAGATCCTGCCATAGCAACAATATGGATGAACCTCAAGGTCATTATACTGTGTGAACCAAGTCAGTTACAGAAAGTCAAATACCGTAGGATTCCATTTCCATGGGGAATCTACAATGCACAGAAGCAGAGAAAAGAATGGAGGTTGCCAGGTGTAGGGAAGAAAGGAAAATGGAGAATTGCTATTTAAGGGGTACATGGTTTGGGTTATATCTGATGAGTATGTTCTGGAGATCCGATGAACAACATTGTGCCTACAGCTGACAATAGTGGGTTGTACACTTACAAGTTTGTTAAGAAAGTAGATCTCATGTGAAGTGTTCTTTATTTAAGTTCTGGAATACATGTGCAGAACATGCAGGTTCGTTACATAAATATACATGTGCCATGATGGTTTGCTGCACCTATCAACCCATCATCTAGGTTTTAAGCCTCGCATGCATTAGGCATTTGTCCTAACGCTCTCCCTCCCCTTGGCCCCCACCTCCCGACAAACCCCAGTGTGTGATGTTCCCCTCCCTGTATCCATGTGTTCTCATTGTTCAACTCCCACTTATGAGTCAGAACATGTGATGTTTGGTTTTCTGTTCCTGTGTTAGTTTGCTGAGAATGATGGTTTCCAGCTTCATCCATGTCCCTGCAAAGGACATGAACTCATTATTTTTTATGGCTGCATAGTATTCCATGATATATATGTGCCATATTTTCTCTATCCAGTCTGTCATTGATGGGCATTTGGGTTGGTTCCAAGTCTTTGTTATTGTAAACAGTGCTGCAGTAAACATACGTGTGCATGTGTCTTTACAGGAGAATGATTTATAATCCTTTGGGTATATACCCAGTAATGGGATTGCTGTGTCAAATGGTATTTCTGTTCTAGATCCTTGAGGAACTGCCACACTGTCTTCCACAATGGTTGAACTAATTTACACTCCTACCAACACCAATATAAGCACAAATCCAAAAACAGAAAAACAAAACCAAACCCCACAATGATAAAAACCTGGTGGCTTTAGCTTGCATTGTTTCCTCTAGATTTAAATAATCCAGTTAGAGGTCTTGATTTGTAGAGAAAGTTTTTCCTTACTTTATGAAAAAATAATAATGATAAATGTGTTCTTTAGAACAGAGGAAAATCACCAACGAGGTAAAAGAGAAACAGAAAACTGAAAATAAGTAAACAATTTTACTCAGAGATCACTGAACCTAATTCTGTAAATAAATTTCTAAGATGATAAATAAAGATATTAAATCAATAAAACTTTGAAACAAAATATCTCGATTTAAACAGTAATAATTGGTATTTTATTTCAGAACTAATATGCTATTATAAACTGCTTAATCATTTAATTTAATTTTTCTGATTCCTCAGAATCTTGATATTCATATACTATCAAAATAATGCTATTGGAATGGATTTCTTACTTAATAACTTAGCCTTGTGCTTTTCAGAGAGAAGTTTCTTTCTTTCTAACATGACCAAAACTTGCAGTCCAGTGTCCATGTTGCTCCAGTTTTGCTGAGGGAGTTCTAAGAGCTTTCATTTCTTCATCTGCCAATGAAGCCTTTGGACAGAACCCTAAGCTACAACTCAGTGGCTTGTAAGTTTTGTTCTTACCAACATATGAGTTCCACACTCATGTTCAATATTTTTTTTTTTTTAGATAGAGTCTCACTCTGTCACCCACAATAGAGTACAGTGGCGCGATCTCATCTCCCTAACCTCTGCCTCCTGGGTTCAAGCAATTCTCATGCCTCAGCCTCCTGAGTAGCTGGGATTACAGGTGCATGTCACCACGCCTGGGTAATTTTTGTATTTTAGTGGAGATGGGGTGTCAATATGTTGCCCAGGCTGGTCTCAAACTCTGCCCCAAACATATTTTTGAACATCTAACATGTAAAGCAATCAAAAGCCATTCGAATAACCAAAATTAATTACCACAATAGTCTTTCTAGGAGTTGCCAACAGCCCAGTTACTGCTGTATTAGATTGGTGCAAAAGTAATTGCGGTTTTTGCTATTGAAAATAATGGAAAAAATGACAATTACTTTTACACCAACCTAATAGAAATTACAGCTATTGGAGCACCTCACTAATGTGTTCCAGGAACAGACGGATTCATGGAAGCTTCGGTGATGAAAAAGGAAGAGTACCAGCTACCCACTGAAACCCACGGTGGGTTAGACCGTAGCACCCAGACTCCTTTTCCATGAGCCCAAGTCTAGTGCAAAGGGGAGAGAGAGAAAGTGATGAACGCCGCACTTCAGGCCTAGCCCAGCAAACTTCCCACTCCCCTCCCCTATGCTAAGGGATCTGCAGCCCCTCTTCATTCAGAAACAATGGCGGATGGCAGGAGGCGGGGTTGGGGATGGGAGGACCCAGTGGAAGGGACCTGGGTCTCTAAATATTACACGGAGAGGAAGTCACTACCATTCTAAACACTACCCAAGACTTTCACATGAGCAACAAACAACCTTGTTTTACATAAGACCCTATAATTTCAGTGTGTTTTTCACAGAGCTTAACCTCCTCTGAATAAGGAGTCAGCTTCTCTTTCCTTCAGAGTGTATTGTTTCATCAGCTTATATATGGTTAAATAAGCATAAATGCTTTAATTTTCCTGAAAGAGCCACCTCTAATTTACAGAATAACTACACATCTTTTAAATTAGGATAGAAATCCATGTCTTATATTTGTACGATTGATAAGTTTATAACATAAATAATTAGGGAGCATTTAATTTCTGTATCTTAGGTACATTTTTCTGTCTTTAAAATATAAGGAGAAAGGTGATCGAATACATTTTTTTCATAAACAAAATTGAATCGGTGAAGGAATTCCTAAGAATGCTTTTCCAGGACATTTTCAAAATTCCTTGCCTTTTCAAAAGGAAATAAACACATATTTAGTAATGCTTATTGATTACCTTGATTCCTGTTTATTATCCTACACTTTGATACATTTCATAAGATTAAACTTTTACATTCTTCCATATTTCTGAAAGTTTACTGAAAAAAAGTATTGCCATCTGTTTGTTAATAAGACACAATAAAAAACCTAGATAGTAGATACCCATGCAAAAGTTAGCTCAGTATATTACTTATTTTCTCTAAAAACTATTTTCATTAAATTCTAGCTCAGCACTTACCTTGTAAAAGAATAATTGTTCAATTAACGCCACCCTAATCTGTTTACAAGACTCTCCCATTAGATAGTTGGTGCTATATATAACATAGACTCCAAATATTTGTTCTGCTCACATTATCCAGTGTTTTATGGGTGCCAGGCTGTCCTTATCTCTGGCTATTGATTACAAATAAGTAAAATACAAGAGTCTAACCCTCTAGAGGCTTATGATTTTTAGGGGAGAAAATGACATAGAAGTATTCAATTCTTATGCATGGACATGCATGTTATCATAGTGGCTTATATAATGGGCCATTGGTGGAAACATCTATTTCCAATTGTGACAAAAAAGAAAGTTTGATTAAGTGGGAGATATCTGAGCAAGGCAATGGAAGATACATAAATACTCACCAGGCTGAAGAGAAAATGACATTTTCAAGCTAAGAGGTAGATCAGTTTATCTAAAGACATCTTGATGATTGTCTATAAGAGTTGTAATGAAACAGAAGCTTTATATGAGAATGTCTGCTTGTATGACCAAAAGGTTTCTTTGGAGCTGAAGGAAAAATTATACACTGGTCAATTTCAGTTTAACATCTTTGAAATGAAAGTGAAAGATATTTGGAATTATGTGAATAGGCAGTGAAAATAGTATCAGCAGGAGGGGACCCTCATAGTAGAGACAAGTGTGAGAATCCTACGAACACAGACAAAACTGAACGTTTCTCAGTCACAAGAGAGAAATTAAAATTGTCCCTATTAAATGAGCATCTGGAGATTGTGAGCTATGTAGAAAAAAAATACCAAAAAAAAAAAAAACCCCAAAAAACAAAAACAGTGAAATTGCAGATGTAGGAGGCAGGGGAAGAGGTAATATTTTTTTTTTTTTCAATTCTGAGGAGGTGTCATTTTAAGCATCTCCCTGATACCGCCCATACTCAGTTCATTTAACAAACATTTATTTTTCATCAGCTGTGTGTCTCACTTTGCTAGATGCATTGGAGTGATATAAAGATAAAGATGATATGTTTTTCCTTCGAGAAAACTACAGGATTGTATAAGATGGGACTTCCAGTTAGTTCAAATATCAGTGTTAATTTTGATATTGAATTTTATACATAATCTTTGCCATGCTTCAAAGTCAACCCACTTAGATACCAATGAAACAAGTAAGAATTTTATTCCAGAATTTAATTTAGTAGTATTTTCTTTCTTTTTAATAAAATCATCCAAACGTTATAAATTTGCAAGATGAAGTTTACTGCATATTAAAGAGATCAAAGAGAATCAGAATATGCCATATTTTCTTTTATAAATAAATGAGTCAGGAGATTGGAAGATGTTTCCTCCTTACCAACCCCCACCCTCTGAAAAAATAATGCTTGATAACAAGGCAGCTGGTAGTGGGTCTGGAACCATTTTTAGCTGCTTCAAAGGGGAATCAGATGTACTGAAATGTAAAGATGTAAAACACTCATAAATTATTTCAGTGGAATGTCAAAACAGCCAGTCATAATATGTCTACTATTTAAAAATATTAAATTTTAGTGGTTTTTTTTTGGAATGTAAGCTTTCTGGAAGCTTTTAGTAGCATTTCTTCCTAGAGGAAAATGCCTAAATAGGATGGTGCACAGGGGCATAAATCCCACAGGACAGGTCCAATGTGAGGGCAGCCTGAGCTTTCCTGCGGCTGTGACATGGATGTGAAGTCTGTGTTACCAGGGTGAGAAAAGACAACATGAGAAGCAGGAATTCCAGAAGTGTGAGTGCAAAGATGATAGAAGAGGAGAGTGAAGAATAAGGCAGAGGGAAAAAAGAAAATACTTGGAATGATAAATGAAGTAAAATAAACAATAGACCTTTTAGGGAGAATTGAAGTATTAATTCTTTCTTTTTAACAAAATCATCCAAACATTATAAATTTGCAAGATGAAGTTTACTGCATATTAAAGAGATCAAAGAGAATCAGAATATGCCATATTTTCTTTTATAAGTAAATGAGTCAGGAGATTGGAAGATGTTTCCTCCCTACCAACCCCCACCCTCTGGAAAAATAAAGCTTGATAACAAGGCAGCTGGTATTTGGTCTGGAACCATTTTTAGCTGCTTCAAAGGGGAATCAGATGTATTGAAATGTAAAGAATTAATTAAAGAATTAAATACTGTGTTCCAGCAAGAGCAGTAAACCTAAGCCATGGGATTCTTACTAGACGCTGTCTACGTCTGCTACCTCCTGTAATAGAGAGGAAATCACATGGAAATGGAAAGGATGCTGGTCAGGAAAGCCAGTCCTGCAGAGCGAAAGCAGACACACCCCAGCCAAGTCACCCTGCAGACCATTATCATCAAGTTCTTTGTGAGGAGGAACAGTGCTAAGTCCATAATAATAATCACAGTCATGCTGATAATAGACACTTTTGACACTTATTAAGCCTCATTCTAAGTTCTTTACATGTGATGATTTACTTAGTTGTCACACACACTAAATATCATATTATCATTACCACCCCCATGACAGATATGGAAACTGAAGCATTGGGATGTTAAATTGCCCCAAGATTCACAGCTGGTGCTTAGTAGGACAAGAAGCCAGCTCCTGTCGCCCTGACAGGGTGTTTATGTGGTTTACCTGATAGAGGTATATGAAAGCCTTAAATCACTATTTTATGATTTTGCTGTGTCTCCACCCAAATCTCATGGTGAAATGTAACTCCCATAATTCCCACATGTTGTGGGAGGGACCCGGTGGGAGGTAACTCAATCTTGGGGGTAGGTCTTTCTCATCCTATTAACTTGATAGTGAATAAGTCTAAAGAGATCTGATGGTTGTATAAAGGGGAGTTCTCCTTCACACGCTCCCTTTGCCTGCTGCCATGGAAGACGTGACTTTGCTCCTCATTCACCTTCCGCCATGATAGTGAGGTCTCTCCAGCCATGTGGAACTGTGAGTCAATTAAACCTCTTTCCTTTATAAATGACCAAGTCTTGGGTATGTCTTTATCAGCAGCATGAGAACAGACTGTTACACACTACAACTAAATATTTCCCAGGTTAGCCATACAGGTATTCTTATATTTTTTGTAGACAATTAAAAAGCATAATGCCTAAAAAAAAAAAAAAAAAAAAAAAAAAAAAAAAGCAAATACTTTGTTCCAAACATACGCTTTATTAACTAAGGGACAAGGGAAGAGACTTCCTCTTCTACCTCAGATAATAATTAGCTTCATGAACTTAGGTGAGTCTCTTCCCTACTCAAAGCAATCTTCCCTTCCCTCTTCCCTTCCCTCTTCCCTTCCCTCCTCGCTTCCTTCCTTCTTGCCTTCCTTCCCTCCTCCCTTCCTTCCCTCTCCCCTTCCTTCCCTCCTCTCTTCCTTCCGTCTTCCTTTCCTTCCCTCCTCTCTTCCTTCCCCTTTCCCTTCCTTCCCCTTTCCCTTCCCTTCCTTGCCTCCTCTCTTCCTTCCCTCTTCCCTCCTTCCCTCCTCTCTTCCTTCCCCTTTCTCTTCCTTCCCCTTTCCCTTCCCTTCCTTCACTCCCTCCCTTCCTCTCTTCCTCCCTCCCTCCTCCCTCCTCCCTTCCCTTCCCTTCCTTCCTTCCCTCCCTCCCTTCCTTCCTCTCTTCCTCCCTCTCCCTGTCCCTCTCCTTCTCCGTTCCCGTTCCTTTCCTTCCATTTTATTAGTTAAGAGAATATACTTGACAATCTCTAAGGAATGATTCAAAGTGCCTTTAACCTATGTGGCTGCCTTTTATTTTTCTCCCCTCTCTTGAGCTTTCTTTCTCAGCCATCCTTCAGCCTGGTCAGCACTCTCCTGTTCAATTCCAGATGTGAACAGAATACCAACATAAAATTGAACAAGTTCCCAAGAGTTTGTTAATTTTGTTTCCCACATAGCAAGCCTGCAATAGTCATCAGTCCATGTACAGATCCATTTTTAACCTGTCCCAAAAGAAAGTGTGAATTCTCAGACTTGGCGGCCGATTTCCAGAAATAGTCCCAGGGCTGGGAGCACTCAGCCTCACCTCATCAACTGCCCTCATAGACAGCACAGGAAAGTGACCAGAGGAGGGGCATGCAGGCTTCTCCTTCGCAGGAGAATACAAATCAGGATTCTTTGCAAACTTGCTGGTTTCTATTTTCTGGTTTATACAGATTATTGTTTTAAAAAGCAGAATACAGTTTCTTCTGGTTTCCTGTTCAGCATGTAAGAAGCTGGAAGTCACCACTCTGTCCTAAGAGAAAGCTCCACAAACTGAAAGATCAATTCTTCTTAGATCATTCAGAGAGGTGGGGGTCATAGGACAATTTGCTGCTCCCAAGATTGGAGACACATACAGGGAACTACAGAAAGTGATGGTACCAGGGCAGAAACCCACAAGCACAAAGCTCCAGAGTGGGAGTAGGGAAGGCAGAGCCGTAACTGATGAACTGCTGCTGGCTCAGTGTTCCCCAAGAGAACTCAGTCATTAGGGGGCCCATTCATGACATTAGTTTTACTCCAAGAGGACTCAATCATCAGGGGTCTACACATTATGAGTTTTACTTCCTGGAGCTTCACTAGGTTCTCACAAGGAATATTGGAGAAGAGCCTCCTCCTGCTTCCAGCTTGGGGAGGGGAAAAGGAACCATTTTTGCAGAGCATTTCATTCTTCCTAACAAGATAGGCCCACATTACCCTAACATCAACACCAGACAGAGGCATTCCAAAAAAAGAAAACTGCAGACCATCGTTTCTCATGGACATGGTTGCAAAAATCCTCAACAAAATATTAGCAAAATAAATTCAACAACGTATAAAAAGAATTATATACCATGTTTCACTGGGATTCATCTCAGGTATGCAAGGCTGGTTCAATACTGAAAAATTAATTAACATATCACATCAACAGGTTAAAGAAAAAATCACATGATCACATCAACACATGCAGAGAAAAGCAATTAACAAAATCCAATACATATTTATGATTCAAAAAATATCCTCAGTAAACCAGAACAAGAGGGAAACCTTCTCAATCTGGTAAAGAATATCTACCAAAAAACCCTGCAGCTAACATTTTACTTAATGAAAACTCAAAGCTTTCTCACTAAGAGCAGGAAACAAGGCACAAATGTCCCCTTTCACCACTGATTTCCAACATCGTAGCTAATGCAATAAAGCAAGTAGAGAAAATAAATGGAATACAGATAGAGAAGGAAGAAATAAAAGTTGTTTATTCCCTGCAGGTGACACAACTGTCTATGTATAACATCCTAAATAATTGAGAAAAAAAATCACCTTCCTAGAACTAATAAGCAATTATAGCAGGGTTGTAGGATACAAAGTTAACACTAATGCACAAAATAAATTGCTTTTTTATATACCGGCAATGAAATGGAATTCAAAATTAAATATAATAATACCATTTACATTAGCATACCCCAAAATGAAATACTTAGATATAAATCTAGCAAAATACATACAAAATGTATATGAAGAACTCTATAAAACTCTGAATTAAAAAAATAACTAAACAAAGAGATAGCCCATGTTCATGGATTTAAAAAAAAAAAAACCTCAGTACTGTCAAGTTGTCAGCTCTTTCGAACTTTAAATACCTATTACCAAGTGAAAGAAGTTAATTTGAAAAAGCTACAGAGTATATGATTCCAACTGTGTAATATTTTCGAAACAGCAAAATTAGGGAAACAGTGAACAGGTCAGTGATTGCCAGGAGTTGAGGGAGAGAAGGATTAATAAGCAGAGCACAGATAATTAAACAATGAAAATTATCTGTATGATACTATAAGGATGGATACATGTTATTGAACTTTTGTCCAAACCCATAAAATTGACAACAGCAAGAGTGCGCTCCAATGTAAACTATGGGCTTTGGTTAATCGAAATATGTCAAAGTAGGTTCATTGATTGTAATAAATGTACCATTCTTATGGGGGGATGTTGATAATAAAGGAGATCCTGTATGTGTGGGGACAGGGGGTATATAAATTTTTTTTAACCTTCCCCTTAATTTGGCTGTGCACCTAAAACTACTCTACAAAACTAAATCTAGTAAAACATAAAGCAGCAAACATCGAAGCTACTATAGCGATGCTAATTTAAAGAGAAATCCTCAAGTAGCACCTGTAAAATTTTAATTCTACTAATGATCATGTTCAAAGCATGTTAAAAGTAGATCCCAATTCTTTCATACCCACAACAAAGATGAAATGTCGGACTGTAACATTTACTCTTTAAGTTAGAGAAGAACTCTCGTTTCATGAAATCTTCTAGAGAATCATATCAAGTGACACACTGATTAAGCACATTTGTGTTAAATGGAGCATGTAAAAGATAAATTTTGAAGATGAAACAATGAAGTTAAAGGAAGAGTTCTTTGCACTTGTACTCATAATTGAGAAAGGTAATTTCATTTTCTGGGGGACTTTAAAGTCCACAGATACACACACATAAACTTGCTACTTTGGCAAAAATACATAAATTTCGATGAAAATAATTATTCCTTATGTACAGCTGGGGAATATTACTTAAGCTACGCTTTCTCTGTGATGTACTGCTCTGACAACCATAAAATTATTTTCCTCTCTAGGTCTGATTTTTGTGATCAGTGGTTCCTAGGTATTGCTAATTTGAAGTGTGATGTCAAATTTCTCAAACCTGAGTGATCCAAAGAATCACTTGGGACTCTTTTTAACCCTAGATTGTAGCTAAAGAGCCTCCTCATTTGTGTTAGTCAGCTCAGACTGCCATAATGAAATACCACAAACTAGGTAGCTTAAACAACAAAATTTTTATTTTATTATTATTATTATTTTTTACAGTTCTAGAGGCTGAAGTTCTAGATCAAGATTCACACAGAGTGAGCTCCTGGTGAGAGCTCTCTTCCTGGCTTGCAAAATGCCACCTTCTTACCGTGTCCTCATAAGGCAGAGTAGGGGATGGGGAGGTTTCCTCTGGTGTCTGTGCTTCTTTTTATACGGATATAAATCCCCTTGGATCAGGCCCCACTCTTATTATCTCATTTAACCTTAATTACTTCTTTAGAGACCCTCTCTCCATATACGGCTATACTGCAGATCAGAAGTAAAATACCTGAATTTTAGGGGGACACAGGCAGTCCACAATACCATTCTAGAAGGCAGATCTGAATGCCACAGGAAAAGCCTGATATGCATTTTTAAGTAGCATCCTGATGATTCTCCAGGTGACGCACACATGGGAATCAACGAAGAGGGAACATCGTGAGTTAAAGAACTCAAAACAACTGACGCTAATTCCAACTCAAAACTTAGCTACTGAGACCGCTTGACCTAATCTACATTCCTGTATCTTGGTTTTTAAAGTTTTTATAAAAGCAACATCAGCCCTGTTAAATAAAAAAGTAGACCTCAACTACATAAATAGAGTACCTGGTACCTAATATAGATACAAATTAAACCTGCTATTAGTAACTTCCTCCAAATATGATTGTGAACAGTGGAGAATAAAGAAGATACACACTCTGGTGATTACATGACTCATACCTTAGTGCTGGCTGCTGTTACTGTTTTCCAACTTGTACAGGTAGAGAAAGTCTACCTCCTCCCCAAAATAAACAACCACACCAAAAACAAAGATGGCTCGAGAACAGAGTAAGCAATATGAATCCAGACTCATTCATTACATATCTCACCCAAGATTTTTGGCCTTTTAAGCCTCAGTGGAAATGATTTACATTTTATTTCCATGGCAGCTTTCCATTCTCAAAAGAAGAAGCACTTTCAGAACTACACTCCACACCCAGAAGGCAAATGATACTTTATAATCCATTCTTTGTACGATTTACAGCAGCTCCCTTGGAAAGGAATTTACTGGTCGGTGTGGTGTGGCTGTTATTATGTCTGAGTTTAGGAACTGCTTCTAACTTCTCTTCATTAAGTAGTTAAAAAATATTTAATGAGTCTCTATTACGCGTTAGGTGCTCTGCTAGGAAATGGAATTATATGCAGAGACCACAGTCTCTGATCTGATGTGGCTCATGTACTCAGAGAAATAGCACATGTAAATAAACAATAGTTATGGCCTCGCTTGATAGGTGCCATGACATAGTGGAGAGAGATGTTAAATGTTATGGGACCCATGAAGAGGCGTCTTTGTCTGCTTGACAAAGTCAGGAACGCTTTCAGAGGAGAGTTAATATCTGATCTGGATTTAAAAGAACGTCTAGAAATATGAGCTTAAAGAAATACACGGTTTTATTAAAAACTTCATACAGTTATTCAAAATTGAGTAAGGATAAACCCAGTTAAATTCAAGTCTGGATATACTTGCCTTACATGAGACATCTAAATTTTATCAATAGCAACAACAGAAACAAAATAAAAATGAGAACGGATTCCCTCTAGGGTGTTTGCCTGTGGTAAGCAAGATGAGGCTGTCCTGCAGTGCTGGGGTGAATGCTTATGAGCCCTGTAGAGCCCAGGGTAGTCTGGACGTGCTCTGCAACTCTCTGTTTTATAAATGAGCCAAAGACGGCCTGTGTGCACTGATGCCCGGGTTGTTTATTTCTTCATTGCAGGCTGAGAGCTTTAGCTCATAAGCCTGCTGGCACCAAACTCAAATTTTACACATCCAATTATTTTAAAAATAGCCCAAACTAGCAGACTTGTAGCCATTTAGAGCCTGCCTGCTTTGCATACCCTGCAAAACTTCACCTGACAGCTGTTACCCATTGATAAGATAAGACTTTGGAGTTGTAAGATCCTGTTGAGGACTGAGTTCTGTCTTCCCAAAACTGCTATGTTGAAATCTCAACCCCAGGTGCCTCAGAATGTGACTGTACCGGGGGCTGAGTTCTTTAGAGAGTAATTAAGATTAAAAGAGGTCATGCAGGGGCCCTAATCCAATATGACTGGTGCCTCCTAATAAGAGAAGATAAGAACCCAGACACACACAGAGGGAAGACCACGTGAGGACCCAGAGAGAAGGGGCCTTCTGCAAGCCAAGGAGGGGCCTCAGGAGAAACCAACCCCACTGACACCGTGATCTTGGACTTCTCGATTCCAAAATTAAGAAGAAACAGATTTCTGTTCTTTAAGGCATCCAGTTTGTGGTACTTTATCATGGCAGCCTGAGACTAACACAGACTCCAAGCTGCTGGTGTCCATGGAAGGCCTCTGCCCCAGAGACGCCTCACCCTCCAGGCTGCTGAGAGACAACGGCTGGACCCCGGGCCCTTCTATGATCCCCCTTCCTTGGGGAGTTGATGTGCCATTCTCCCCTGCTTGGTGTGGCCCCCAGCCACTGCCGTAAGCCTCTGGAAGAGCTTGTGTTGTATGGGGTCTCCCTTCTCATGCAAGCATCGCCTGATAAAACCTGTTGTGTGATCCTGCCTCTCTCAAGTTCTTATCTTTTCCATGATCAGCCCCAGATTCCTCCAACCCCTACACACTGCCTGGGGTCTTTGCAAATCAATGTCTTACTAACAACAAGGTCCCTTTGCATTTGGATCAACTCATGTAAAGTTCTTGTTGACCAACCCAGGAGGTATTTATTAAATATTTATTTTGGTTATTTTCAGCATGATATAGCCAATTTTTTTTCTTTATACTAGCTCTAGGGTGAATACAAATATAATATAATATTTTTATAAGAATATGAATCTCATGACTCAGAATTATTAATTTCATGTGCTATTACTTTTCACTATGAAAGATGAAAACGCTAAGAGCAGTGTTAACGGACTATATCAGATATAGTTTAAGATTTGGAAGACTAATTATTTAGATCTCTGTTTTTCTGTGTTTTACTGTGAATGCAGAAATTTAAATTATGTTTTCAGCTTTTCCTGTAGAAGACTGCTTAAATGAAATAAAGGAAAACATGATTATAAGTACCTACTGTATGAACTAATTCATATAAGAAAACAAGCAGTTTATGAGACATAATGATATCATATTACAATCAAGGCCTATACATAAACAATGAAATAATCATTCAGAGAGTAATTTTAGACTAACGTAGTGATAAAAGCTGTATGTCGTGAGGGTCAGGCAGGCCCCGCTGTGAATGTGATTGCACCAGTTGCTAATTTGCTGTCAGTGCAGTCATAGGTTAAACAGCTAATCTCCCAGACCACTGGCTTCCTCGCCTATAACACGCAGATAATAAAGAAGAGTCTGTATTTCACAGAGATGTGATCATTCAGTTAGACACATAGATAATGTTCCTGGAACAATAACTGTGGCATACTAAATGCTTAATAACTACTGATTTCTAACTCCCTTTACTGCTTTATTCTACAGCAGTTTCATTTTACAGAGTTAATACCAAATATGTATAATGTATTTAACATGCACGAGCCTTTAAACACCTAAGAGCCACGAAGTTATTCAAACTGAATAAATGGGTATGAATATATGTTAATAATCAAACACTCAAAATACTAATACTTAGTTTTAAATAACTCGTTTATCAAAAAGTTCATCTCAATGCTTCAAGTAATGGCTACCAAAGCCAAACTTAAATGTAAATAATAAAAAATCTACTTTAAACATGATTGTCAAACATATATTCAACAGTTGTCAGATGCAAAAGCCACACGTATTTTGTAGTTGATAAGATTTGCATTTGAGTAGGGTGTCTAGTAACAGTCTAAGAGTACATATGACATTTCCATGTTTTAATGAATTTCAGGTAGCTATGATAAAATTCTAAACCTGTTCTATTCAATATTGATACTCATTAAATTGATACATAAGCTGTTTAAGAAAGATAAATACTGCACAGCTCACGGAAAGGTTTATTAAGATTTTCAAATGTCTAATATCATCCAAAAATCTAGGGGGAACATTCTGAATTACAGTATTATGTTTTTACTGGAAATATAACTTGCCATAAGACAAGAAGACAGAGTATGGCACGAATGATATTCATGTGGGCTGACTCAATGCCTCATGTTGTCATAAATCTGGCCTTTTCATTTCTCCCTCCCACAGACACAAAACAGCAGCATCCGACGCCCAGCAGCAGCAGCAGAGTGAGGTAAAAGCGCAAAGCTTCCATCTTCAGGATAAAAGATTCTTCTCATAAGACAATTTGTGATTCCTTAAAAATATGAGGACTTCATAATAAAAAACTATATTGAACACTAATTTTTTGACTGTGTGAGGGAAACATATAAGACATAAACGTGATATCCTTTACTGAGATGAAAACATACCAGTAATATTTTAATATTCTCAGAAAACTATCGCAAGGACAAAAAACCAAACACCGCGTGCTCTCACTCATAGGTGGGAATTGAACAGTGAGAACACATGGACACAGGAAGGGGAACATCACACACCGGGGACTGCTGTGGGGTGGGGGGCGGGGGGAGGAATCGCATTAGGAGATATACCTAATGCTAAATGACGAGTTAACGGTGCAGCACACCAACGTGGCACATGTATACATATGTAACTAACCTGCACGTTGTGCGCATGTACCCTAAAACTTAAATTATAATAATAATAAAATAAAATTTAAAAAAAGAGGAAAAATAGAATAATTAAAATAAAATCTAAGTAAATTATAGGAGATTATTCGGCATGGTCTAAATACAGAGCCAATACTCTTCAAAGGTTTTCAAGTAAACATTCCCCATAAAATCGTGTCATGAGTTAAAGAATTTATCAGCCTAATAGACACATTCTCCCTTTTTTAATTGCAAAGAGACTCCCCACTTTCTCTTTTGCTGCACTACAGTATAATTTCTTTTTACCCAAACACTCCTTATGGCTAGTTTTTTCACATCTTTTAGAACAAGAGTCCATTCCCACCAATTTAATCTCATTCCTTATCACAACATACTGTTTGCGACGCTAATAGTATTTTACATTTTGCATTAATGTGTTAAATTATTTACCTCTTGCAGTCAGGATTCCCTAATAAATTACTAGATCTTTGAAGAACAGGAATGAGTTTGTTGCCTTCTCAATGCATACTCAATGCTGGCCTGGCAAATTATATGGAATCTATAAAATATCTTTTAAATGGAAGAGTACCTAAATGCATGGATGAATGAACTTATGGTTCAATGATAAAAATGATAAAAAAGAAAAGAATCAAAATGAAAAAGTAAACATAAAAATAAATACATATTCAAAATTAATATATGTATAAAAATTTTTAAAGTAGTTAATCAAATTTGCTAGGGGAAGCTGGGCATGGTGGCTCACGCCTGTAACCCCAGCACTTTGGGAGGCCAAGCAGGGTGGATCATCTGAGGTCAGGAGTTCAAGACTAGCCTGGACAACATGGTGAAACCCCGTCTCTACTAAAAACACCAAAATTAGCCCGACATGGTTGCAGGTACCTATAATCCCAGCTACTCCTCCAGAAGCTGAGGCAGGAGGATCACTTGAACCCAGGAGGCAGAGGTTACAGTGAGCTGCGATTGTACTACTGCACTCCAGCCTAGGCAGCAGAGTCAGACTTCATCTCAAAAAAAAAAAAAAAAAAAAAAAAAAAAAAAAAAAAAAAATTCTTGCCTTTTGGAGCCAGGGATAGCTCTATGAAAGAGGATATGGCTGAGCTAGATCTTATAGGATGACGAAATTCACTAGATTTGGTTCATGAGGAAGTGAATTCCAAACAGTAATGTATTCTCTTACATTATGTAGTGTGTGTGTGTGTGCGTGTGTGTGTGTGTGTGTGTGGTGTGTATACATTTTTCATTCAACCAAAGGTTATCAGAGAAATTATGAAGGGATATTTAGAAATAAATTAGAATAAATTCTATGCTTGTTTAACACTCAACTTTCTCTTTAGATAATTTTACAGTATTGCATTTAGTCATGATGTTCTGGTTTTTATTTATACATTCATCTGAAAGAGCAAAGTGGTAGAGCTAAAATCAGTAAGCTTGGCTCTGTTTCCAAACTCATAAAAATGCAATATCGTGGCAGAAAGATTCTTGTCCTATTTCTTATTTTACCTGGGCTTTTGGGATTTCACATGGACATAGTTGCAAAATAATACTCCCCAAACTTCAGTTTCACATGACTAATGTAGAACATTTGCTGTAGATAATAGTCAATGAATTTGGTATTACACTTCACAGCCTAGAGAAGACGACTTTTCTTCATATAATGTTGGCTAGCTGGTAGCAAAATCATGTCTTTCATAGATCTCCATTTGTAGTGGATAGGAAATTTGGATCTTAATAAGACATGGGAAGATGAAATGGGTCACACAGTACTAAAGCAGAGAAAGACATCCCGATAGGTGTCTTAGAAGCCAGAAAACCTCCCCATTTTTAAACAGATAATCAGAGTGGTTATGTCCTGGGGGCGAACGCAGAGCCAAACTCAGGAGTTCTTGGTTTAGATAAGTTATTTCCCCCTACTAGCAATGATACGCCATGAACAGACTTGTTCTGAAAGTCTTGTTTGTATGTGAAAGTCAGAATCCTGAACTTTTGTTCCAATTATTTAACTCTAATTGAATTAAATTTAATTTATGAATTTTAAATATAGATTATTGCAATGAAAATTTGAAATTATATTGGAGTGCCCTGTAAGTATAACGTATATACCAGGTTTCTAAGACTTCTTTTAATAGACTCTATTATAACTTATTGCTGATGACATGTTGAAATATTTTGGACACATGGGTTAACATTATTAAAATTAGTCATATCAGTTATGAATTTTTAAATCTGCTGCTCATTTGGAATTACATTCATGGCTCATTATATTGCTGTTGCCCACTGCTGTTTCAACCATCGCATATAAAATTACTTACAGTCAGAAAATTTATGAAAGATATTAAAGAGTTCCTCTTCTAAAATGATTTTGCAATTTTCCCTACAACTGTTTCTTCAAAGTTCATCAATTTTCAAAATGAACAGTGACTTACAAAAAGAACTAAATAAATATATACATTAAAAATTGTTTTCTATATAAAAATACTAAAATGTAACAAAAAAGAACCAGAATGATAGTCATAGTGTCATGGGGTCAAGACATAGCTGTGAAGGAAGAATGAATTTTCCTTCCAGATAAATGAGTAAAGATAGGAAATGGGAAGATGAGCTGGGAAGCCTTAAGAACCTTTAAGCAGGGCTAAAATAGAAAAAGAAAAAACAAAACAAAACATCGATAATAGCCTGTATTATTTGTATTTTTAAAGAATCATATACCTGCTGCATTTTATGTTGTTCTTGAAGAATATGCATTTATATAAGAAAATTCTACTTCGAAGATTTAATGAATGAATGTTTCCTTCTTGTCTACTATAGCAGTGATACATGATATGATAGAGTAATGCTTTTTATTTCATTGATGGATACAAAAATAAAGAGACAAAAATAACAGAATTGCAAGGTAACTTTATGGTAGAAAAAGGTGGCCCTCAGGTCCTATTGCGAAGAAAAGTTGCCTATTTTATTGCCCTCCTCTGGTATAAGCCAAACATTTCAATAGACATAGCTCATAAGAACAGAAGGCATAGATTAGAGAAAGCTCTTCACTGGATACTTAAGTGTGAAAGGAAAACCAAGCACCTGGGTGGCCTACTGTATGGTTACTCAAGCTCCATGTAGGAGAAAACTCAGCGCTTTAGCTCCTGGGAAAACTGTCAGGTCAAATTGCACGCCATGGCAGGCACACCATGAGAAGATGTGTACATTTTAAGGGATCATTATGAAAGTTCCCAGATAGCCTGCCTTTTTGTATCCTAGTTTTTATTAAATTTTGAAAATCAAGTGAACTGTGAAAAACCTCTGGAGTCATTGATACGGTTTGGCTGTGTCCCCACCCAAATCTCATCTAGAATTGTAGCTCCCATGATTCCCATGTGTTGTGGGAGGAGCCTGGGGGGAGGTGATTGAACTATGGAGGCAAGTCTTTCCTGGGCTGTTCTCGTGATAGTGAATGAGTCTCGTGAGAGCTGATGATTTATAAAAATGGGAGGTTCTCTGCACAAATTCTCTCTCTTTGCCTGCTGCCATCCACATAAGACGTGACTTGCTCCTCCTTGCCTTCTGCCATAATTGTGAGGCCTCCCCAGCCATGTGGAACTGTGAGTCTAATCAAGCCTCTTGCTTTTGTTAATTGCCAAGTCTCCGGTATGCCTTTATCAGCAGCGTTAAAACGGTATAATATAGTTATGTATCAGAAAGTTCATTACAAATCTCACCCACAATCAGATGAGCAAGGAAATTACAGAACAAAATGGCAAGACACAAAATGGATTAATTAAGAATATCTGAGGTATCTTTTTAAATGAAGAACTCTCAAAGCTCACATAACTGATAATTCTGTTGCAATAATTTTCAAAACCTGTCTTTTGATAAGAGACAGAATTTAGCAAGTGGAACCAGACCCTTTCTGACTATAGGTTCGGATTTTCTTCTCTGTCCGCAGCCCGTCTTGCTGTGTGATCTGTTATCATCTCACTTTACCAAAGCAGGCCAACCCCTACCCTATCCACACGTGCCTGGGAGTTGGACTCCATCCTTCATGAAGGAGTCCTGGTAGCAGTGATGTGGCAAGGACTGCAGAAATAAGAACAGTAAGAATAGCACACACTAATAGATCCTTTTCAGGGAACCATGCCCTGGCTACGTGTTCTCCAGGAGCTTACTTCCATAATCCTAAGGATCCTACAAATAAGGACATTGCTGTTATCCTTGCTCTACTAGGGAAGAACCTGGAAATGGAAAAGTTAAGAACATGTTCAAAGTCCCCCAAGTACTAAGGAGTAGGGCTTGTGTTAATGACAAAATGAGCAGGTTTTCATAAGCTCTGCAGAGCTGCAAAATTCACAGATATAGAAACTCCAACCTTTTGGTGGGTGGTAGTGGGCCAAAATAATTCTCATTATACATCCTTTGGTGCTAATTTTTGCTAATGGTAATGATCTCGTCTATTTAGTAATTCAAAATAGGTCCTTAATACTTGACATGTTCACAGTCTTCTGTGGGAGCAAGGGATATAAAAACAAACATAGATTGACCCTCAAATCATTTGCCATACCTGGTTTTTACGTTATCTCTTTTGCAGTTCTGAAACTGTATACATAATAGACTCAGCCTGGGCTGCTGCTTCATCAAAGTGACTTTTTGTTGTAGCTGTTGTTTTTTTCATTCCAGATGAATTTTCCTACTTTTGTATTAAGTACACTGGTTCAGAAGGTGTAAAACTCATAATAAAGTAAATATTGAAACACATATGTTATGATAAGAGGAGTGTAGGATGGCTGTTGCTAGTTTTCCTTCTCTCTCACACACACACACTCACACACATGCAGACAGAATATGCAATTGTGGTTGCCTCAAATAACAGAATATTAGTGTGGTAGAAGAAATAATGCAAGTCAGAAAACCAAGGTTCCAGTCCGGGGCCTGAAGGCAACTCTAATCCAGGTCTACTAAAGGTCTGCTTATGAAATGATCTGCTGACACCTCCTGTTCACACCTCATGGAGTTCTTGTAGGAAATAAATAAAATAATGCATATTAAAATAACATAATTGTATGCAGAGCAATGTATACAAATACCACATTACCATTAAACCATGTCAACCATACTGTTTCTTAACTGTGCCATCTTGACCTCCAACTCCTTTCTCCTTCTTTGGTCTTTACAAAGCCAATCATGATGCTATTTCTAATCAGCTCTGCTCCTCAATGCTCTGTGAAAGTCCAGGTGTTTCCCCAGCCAGCAGTTCCTACGCTCTCCTCAAATGGGTCCCTATGTTAGGTTTTGGATCTCCAACATTAAATGTAGTTTCTGATGTGGTAAATCCTCCCTGTGTTTTTTAGAATGAACGAACAACTAGACTCTGGAATAGTCCCAAGAAAAAACTCCCCAGGCATTGAATTAAAAAGGAAATCCAGACCTATGCATCATATTTGTATGTATAAAGAAAGCAGTGGGGGAAGCTAGGGGGAAATTAAAATATATTTATATATTAAACATTGAAGTGTATAAAGAATGAAGACAACACTCAAAAAAAAAAAATGAAATACCCATCTAGTGGACAAATATGTGTTAACAACCTGCTAGTAAAAAGGTACTATTCTACTGTTAAAAGCAAGAAAAACGCAATAGAAAGAAGATGTATTCCTCTGTTTTCAAACAATAGCAGAAAATATACACTAGTATTCAAGAGTTGATTTCTGCACAGATAGTAGGTGATGCTTGTGGCTGAAACAGGACAGCTGAGTGAGGCCACGTTGGTGAAGCCCACGGGATATGTGATGGGAAAACATGACAGCAGGGTATGAACCCTGCATTTTCATGACCATTTTTCATCACACTTGGTCTTTTTTTTTTTTTTTTTTGGTTTGGTTTGGGTTTTTCAGTGCCACCTAGTGAAGTATTTATTACATATAGTGAGTCATGTTGATGAAATAAATGTCTTTATCTCCTTAGACAATAAATACGCCCAGAGTTTTTAAAACCAAATCTGATATTTGATCCTAAAATTCTTTCAAACAAATTATCATACATGATTCTATCGACAAAGTATTTAGAAATTATCCAGTAAATTACGGTGAGTCAAAATTGTGCATTTTTTTATTTTCAACAATTTATATAATAAAAATTGGAATTCATTCTTTTAATTTTACCATGACTTCTAAGTATTCTTAAAAAGTAAAACTTTAACAGCATTGCCACATTCAAAGCCACACTATCAGAAAACTGATGGCATCACAGAACAACTTGCCACGTATTTTTTTTACTAGGTTTGTGCAAAATAATTGCAGTTTATATTTTGAATCAAGACATTCAATATTTTCTGTTAACGATGTCAATTAAACTGCAAGTCAAATACATCAACCTTTCTGAAAGATGATCCAGATCATAGTGCTAAATTTTCAATCTACTCCAACATTATTATTTGGGAAAAGTTGACCAGGCTCCCACCTTCCCTCTATGCCACAACCCCCACCTACCAACAAAAAAGGAAGAAGTGGTCCTTTAGAGAAAAGCATCATTCACTCGAACAGAGAGGAAAGGAAAGACAACACTCTGTAGTATGGTCTGTAGGTAGCTATGTGGCCAAGGCTCCCGGCATGGGGATTTCTCAGCAGACAGTGAGTGAGAAACCTCCAATCTTAACACTCCCCTTCCACTCACAGCTGAACCACCAACTGTCATTCCCAACAATGGGAATGCTCTACTTTAACCATGAGCTGTAACATATTACAAATTATGCAGATAACACATTGATTTGTCGTAAGAGCAATTTAGCGCCATTCCTCTAGTAAAACAGTATTTACTCTTCCTTGTAGCAACCCCTAAAGGAAATGATTGCACATAAGAAATTGTAATTATCTGGTTTATACATGAAGTATGAATTTGGTGCAAAAGTAATAGCGGTTTTTGTCATTACTTTTAAATGCCACAACCACAATTACTTTTGCACCAACCTAAAAAATAATAGAAGTCTCCCAAGCTAGGGATGGTCAGGTGTCACCTCGTCATCACATGGGCAATGCTTATTTCACAAGGACAATCAATAGCCAGCATTCCACACAGGGACATGTCAATTACTATCTAGAAGCAGCAGGCTTCCCAGGAGGCCCTCTTGACATGTGTCCACAGTTCCATCGTGATTCTTCCAGTCCCACATGCATTTATTGAATGATAAGTGCAGGCCTTAGTAACCACCTGAGACCAGGGGCAGAATATCCATGATAGATCTGGGTCCTGAACGCTGCCTTTGCCCGTTGCTTCCAGAAAACAGTGGGGAGCTCTGTTTCAGCTCTAGAAGGAGTGGAGCGGGTGATGAATTATCTTTACTCTAGGCTATTCATTTTCCCTGGGACACATTTTTTAAATAGAGATTTGGAAAATGAGACAAACTAAAAATAAGAACATAAAAAGGGAGAAAGTGTTGTTAAGAGAGAACCAACATTTGTGATTTTTGAGTAGAAACTTTGTAGTTCACAGTATTATTTCATGCGCTACATTTGATTATAATACTAGACAAGAGATTCCCATTATAAAGCAAACATCCTTTGCAATTACCAAGCTCTACATAATAGGAAATGTATTAATGTCAGAAATACTTTTGCAAAATACTATGGTATTAGGTTCACGCTGACCATGAAGATCGTGGTCTCCTCCTTCAACAAGAATTGCATCTTACTTATGTATGCCCAAGGGCAAATGCCTAGTACTAAAAAACTATAAAATAATTGCTAGATGATTTTTTACATCAGGTAATTATTGTGCAAGCAAGAATACACACTCATGAAAAAGACAGTGGAAACCAACTGAATTATAGAACTGTGTTGTGGTCTATTACGAAGGTAGCTGACACACACATTGGTAAACACTGATCATGTCTCTTTCACCAACTTGACATCACTCTTGGGAATTAACAAAAATTGTGTAATTTTTGCAAAATATCCTAGAAGTATTAGAAAACCAGAAACGTAGGGTTATTATAATTATCATTGCTTAAATTTGCTTTCATATTTGATAAATAACAGGTTACGTTAGCAGGGACTATGATTCTCCACAACCTGAATTTTCTTTCAAGATACTCTAACCCTGGAGAATAAATTTAATCGACAAATGTTTTTTTTCTCCCCCCAAGAAGACATAGGATATTTAGCCATGATTCCAGAAGACTATTGTGAATGATCAAACATGACTTCGTCAAGGTTAGACAATCCTGGTTTTCAGGGAATGGCTTCTAACCCAACTGTAGATACCATCTATCCACATCCTCTTACTTACAAAGTCTTTATAGAGCTATTGAGCTGTATAATATTTCATATTTTTCTTTCCCTTTCTTTGTGTGTCTGGATCCAAGACATAATTTTTTTCAGAAGCTTCGGAGGATTCTAACTTGCTTTTACTTAAGATATTTTTCAAGAAAGTTAAGTTACCCAATGACATAAGTGCACATATAATTCTTCCTAGATGCTTCCCAAATCAGATTTAGTTGTTTTGGCCAGTTGGGTTGCTGTAATTACATCAAACATTAGCATTAGGAGTCTTTTTTGTAGCATTTATATGATCAGGAATGAGCTGTGTAGCTGGTATATTGTTATATAAGTCTTCCTCTGCCCTTTACCCAAAAAACAATAAAATCTCACCAGAAAGTAAAATTTGTTTTTATACGGTCATTTTATACCTTTTTTCTGAACTTATTTTAGGCCATGCAATTGCCTTTACCTATCCTTCTGGCAGATCCTGTTTGCAAAGTTGGTGAGTTGTCAGTGTCAAGATATAAAGAATGAGTATCACTTTTCCAAAACGCAGGTTATCCGTACCAGCAGGTGTTTGTAGAGATAAGTGTTCTTTTGTACAAAGATGCATCTTGTGCTTAAGAAGTTGGTAGGGCCCCATATTGCAGCCATAGATCCCAGAACTATAGATAAAATTTGAATACTGAAAGTACATAGCAGAGAGTGGAACTTTATACAGTACATTTCTTTCTATTAATAGGTACACTGATAATGAAATGCATCATATACATGACTTTAGACACACTACAATCGTAGCTATTCATTCTTTTTACTGATGAATCCTGGAAAGTCTAATGCAGAAGTTAGAAAGATTAAGTTTTCAGCCTGTGTCTTTAAATGGAATGACGTCTTAGTTCTATGAAATCAGACTTAACAGGGGAAGATAAGGCAACCTACAGGGCGTGCCTGCTTCCTGAGGGTGTGCTGACTGGCCCAGGGCACTCTGGATTGTATTCAGTCTCTATAGAATCCATGGCTCTCACTCAGAGCCCTGGGTGTGGGATCATGTCAGTGCTTTGGAAAACATGCATCAAAGCCTAGAGCCTTTCCCACCACATTCAGCAGCATATGCTTCAGATGGGTTTGCATTTTGTGTTCTGGTTCTGACTTTCATCCTTTTAAGGACTATTTCTAAATACTTCTCAATGTCCTTGTTTTTGACCTGTATTCCTTGGTTCATGGCTGCTGTTTCCAACTTTCTGTTCCATCTTCAGTGATAAGACAATATCTAGACAGGAGTAGCCCCACAAGTCCAATTAATCCCTACCTCTCTAGAGAGCCATCCATGAACAGCAACAACAAAAGTTATTTTATAGGAATAAAGAAGGTGGGATCCAGGAAGTCACAGAAAGACATTCCAAGACTCTCAATCATGCCAGAAGGTAAGTGGAATATGCAAAACACATGTGGACTTTTACCATATCTACCACAGATATGAAAATACTCCATAAAATGAGAATCATGTAAGACTTAGAGGTCAGCTGTGTAGCATGGCGCCTAGAGTTAACAATACTTTGCTGTGTACTTACATTTGCTAAAAGGGTAGATCTTATGTTAATTATTTGTATCACAAAATAACAATAAACATAAAGCAAAAGGAAATTTTAGTGTTGATGTATAGGTTTATGGCATAGATTGCAGCAATGGTTTCATGGTGTACACCCCACAAACTCTCCAATGTATATATTAATTATGTACAGCTTTTTGTAGGTCAAAAAAATGTTTAAGTAAGATGAGAATGCTGCTGAATTTTCACATAAGAGCTCACTTTCTCTCTCTCTCTCTCTCTCTCTCATACACACACACACACCATGAAAACTTCTGTCTTTTAAGAAGTGTCCTAAGAAAAGGTATAGTACTAAAAATGTCTTAAGCTTTCCATGTTTGAGACGGGATTAGCTTGAGTTCAAGGAGTCATCTAAAATACCCCAGGGAACATACTGTATTTTTGTTAGGTCTTTGTGAGATTTATTAACAAAAGGTGACGTTTGTAAAATCATTTTCTTTGTGATGATATATGTGAGACGGTGTTTTTTTAAAAAATGATGATCTGAAAAGTTGATCAGAGGATAAAGAACTCTCTCTCATGAGTAACAAATCAGAAGCCACCAAACAGTGATTCTCAAAGTATGTTCCAGGGACCCTTTGGGGGATCCCTGAGGTACTCTCAGAAGCCATGAGGTCAAAACTCTTATCAGGACAATATTGAGAAGTCACTTGTCCCTTTCTTATTCTGTTCGGAGTGGACAATGTGGTTTTCCAAAAGGTACATAGTGCACAACATTACAACAGATTGTATGCAAAAAAAATTACAAGAATCCAGCTGTCTGCTGTTAAAGCAGGCATTAATATGTTTGCTCAAATGTAAATCAATACCACTTCTCTGGCTAAATTGTTTTCTTCTGAAAAAAATTACTTTCCTTAAAAATATGTTATTTCTTATAAATATGCAACTCATAAAATTTAATGATTTATAACTATTATTTAATTATGAATAAATTTCTAAAAATGCCTCTGTCTTCATTATTGACAGGGTAAATATAAGTAGATAAAACTTACATAAGCAAAAGCTCCTTGGGGGCAGTGTTGCCAGATTTAACAAAGACAAAAGACAACCACAAAATTGCAACAGGATGTTAAATTCCATATTAACAGCAAATTAGTTTTTAGTGTAAGTATAATTCATAGAATATGTGGCAATCCTACTATGGGGTTCTTACAAATTTTTCAGACTATAAAGCGGTCCTGACAGCAAAAGTTTCAGAACTGCTGCCGTAGAAAATCTTTAGGTACAAATTTTTCATTTAAATCAAAATTCGTGCATAGGTTACCGTCAGGTTGCTGCCCATGCTGCTGCCATTGTTTTTTTTTTTTAAATTTATTTAATTTTTTTATTTTTATTTATTTTTGTTTGTCTGTTTGAGACCGAGTCTCGATTTGTCACCCAGGCTGGAGTGCAGTGGCGAGATCCCGGCTCACTGCAAGCCCCGCCTTCCGGGTTCATGCCATTTTCCTGCCTCAGCCTCCAGAGTAGCTGGGACTACAGGTGCCCGCCACCACGCCCGACTAGTTTTTTGTATTTTAGTAGATACGGGGTTTCACCGTGTTAGCCAGGATGGTCTCGATCTCCTGACCTTGTGATCTGCCCACCTCAGCCTCCCAAAGTGCTAGGATTACAGGCACGAGCCACCGCGCCAGGCCTGCCATTGTTATTTGTGACTGCATACCATGCTCCATTTTGTGTCTTCATCATCCGGATTTAAATAAGCAAATATTGTTCACAGTTTATCGTACAGGTAGTGCTTTTTTTTTTTTTTTTTTTTTTTTTTTTTTACTTTCAGTGCTGGGATACACTTGCTGAACGTGCAGGTTTGTTACATAGGAATACATTTGCCATGGTGGTTTGCTGCATCTACCAACCCATCATCTAGGTTTTAATCCCCACATGCATTAGGTATTTGTCCTAACACTATCCCTCCCCTTTCCCCCGACCCCCTGACAGGCCCCAGTGTGTGATGTTCCCCTCCCCGTGCCCATATGTTCTCATTGTTCAGCTCCCACTTATGAGTGAGGAACATGCGGTACTTGATTTTCTGTTCCTGTATTAGTTTTCTGAGGATGATGGTTTCTAGCTTCATCCATGTCCCTGCAAAGGGCATGAACTCATTCTTTTTTAGGGCTGCATAGTGTTCCATGGTGTATATGTGCCACATTTTCTTTATCTAGTATATCACTGATGGGCATTTGGGTTGCTTCCAAGTCTTTGCTATTGACCCAGCAATCCCATAGCCAAAGGATTATAAATCATTCTACTATAGGCAGCGCTTTCTTTTCCTTATTTCCTTTTCACAAAGAAGTAAAGTCAGCCTCATTCATCCCATTATACCGGAACTACAGCTGAGCTTCGTTAAGTAATGCATGCACACAAAAAGACAGACCTAGTATCTGAGCCATACCCTCCGGCACCAAGATGTGAGGCAAATCACATGAACTGCCACCCCATCCTCTCTGCCGCTCTCTGTTGGATTACGTTGATTGTATGATACTCTATCATTTTTTGTTACTATAAAACTGATTAACCTGGCTGAATCATCGCGAGTAGAATACAGATATGTAACTTAACTGTGTGAGTAGGACATTTTTTGTAGGATCTGTCACCAAATGTATATATCGCCATGTAATCAGTGACGTACAGTTGTTTTGCCATTTTTAGCCACACTGATAGATGATCTCCTTACAGGCCATATGACAATCCATTAATTAAAACAACAAAAATAACTAAACCCGATGTGCCGTGGAATGTATTCAGGTCATTTAATCATAAGCTTCAAGAACAGAGTCTATAATTTGTATCTTGGGTATTGGAAAAAGTCTTGAAGTCAGATGATTTGGGTTTTAATCTCAACTCTATTGATTGCTTTCGGTGAGTAATTTGGTTACTGACAATATCTATGTGGCTTTGTTTTTGTCATCCCTATAATAAGTATAACGTCACCTGCCCTACACACCCCCAGAAGGTTGGAAGGAAGGTGTAACTACATGTTAAAGTGTTTTGCCAGATGTAAAGTCCTGTATAAGTGTAAGATGCGAGCTTTCTGCGCTCGTCAGGCCCTCATGGTGCACCATGGCCCCACGCTAGCTCTGTGTGCTTATCTAGTTTGTCAGAATCAGCACTTCTTTTAAACATTTTTGTAATAACAGCTTTGAGATACAATTCCCATACCATGAAATTCACTCTCTAAAAGTATACAATCTGGTGCTTTTTAGTATATGTGCAGAGTTTTACAGCCACCATCATAATCCCTTTTCAGAAACTTTTATCACTTTGAAAAGAAATCCTGCACCGCATTCAGTCACTCCGGAAGAGAAATCCTGCACCCCCATTCACAGTCACTCCGGAAAAGAAATCCTGCAAGCCCATTCACACTCACTCCAGAAAAGAAATCCTGCACCTCCATTCAGTCACTCCGAAAGAGAAATCCTGCACCCCCATTCAGTCACTCCGGAAGAGAAATCCTGCACCCCCATTCAGTCACTCCGGAAAATAAATCCCGCACCCTCATTCACAGTCACTCTGGAAGAGAAATCCTGCACCGCCATTCACAGTCACTCCGGAAGAGAAATCCTGCAAGCCCATTCACAGTCCTCCAGAAAAGAAATCCTGCACCTCCATTCAGTCACTCCGGAAGAGAAATCCTGCACCCCCATTCACAGTCACTCCGGAAGAGAAATCCTGCACCCCCATTCACAGTCACTCCAGAAAAGAAATCCTGCAAGCCCATTCACAGTCACTCCAGAAAAGAAATCCTGCACCTCCATTCAGTCACTCTGAAAGAGAAATCCTGCACCCGCATTCAGTCACTCCAGAAGAGAAATCCTGCACCCCCATTCAGTCACTCCGGAAAATAAATCCTGCACCTTCATTCACAGTCACTCTGGAAGAGAAATCCTGCACCCCCATTCACAGTCACTCCGGAAGAGAAATCCCGCACCCCCATTCAGTCACTCCGGAAGAGAAATCCTGCACCGCCATTCAGAGTCACTCTGGAAGAGAAATCCTGCACCCCCATTCAGTCACTCTGGAAGAGAAATCCTGCACCGCCATTCAGAGTCACTCTGGAAGAGAAATCCTGCACCCCCATTCAGTCACTCCGGAAGAGAAATCCTGCACCCCCATTCAATCACTTTGAAAAGAAATCCTGCACCCCCATTCAGTCACTCCAGAAAAGAAATCCTGCACCCCCATTCAGTCACTCCGGAAGAGAAATCGTGCACCCCCAATCAGTCACTCCGGAAGAGAAATCCTGCACCCGCATTCAGTCACTCCGGAAAAGAAATGTTGCACCCCCATTCAGTCACTCCGGAAGAGAAATCCTGCACCCCCATTCAGAGTCACTCCGGAAGAGAAATCTTGCACCTGCATTCACAGTCACTCCGGAAGAGAAATCCTGCACCGTCATTCACAGTCACTCTGGAAAAGAAATCCTGCACCCCTACTCACAGTCACTCCGGAGTTTCTCCTCCCTAGATCCCAGGCAACCACTCACCTACTTTCTGCGTCAAAAGATTTTTTGGTTCTAGATACATCATATAAATGGCCATCCAACATATGGCATTTTGTGACTGGGCTTCTTTCACCCAGCTAATGTTTTCAGGGTGTACCCACGTGGTAGCATTTGTCATCGTAGTACTACATTTTAAACATGTAAAGAGCTCAGTGGTGCTCCAAGAAGCAAGACTTTGGTAGAGACGGCCGCTTGCTCCCAAATATCATGCTGAGGAAGCCAAGTTGTCATGACACAAAGCCAAGGATTATCAGTAGTTTAGAGTTAATTCATTTGGAAAGGCTTCTGTATTTGATCCCAGAGCTGTGAGATCCATATGACCAGGATGGACGGACAAAAAAGGGGACTTTTGCTGTTAATCTACGTGAGCCCTGATGGGCAGAGGCCTAGATCCTCCTATTATGCTCTTGGAGTTTATCAACCCACTCTTGAAGAACATAGTACAGACCTTTTGGGAACACAATATTCTTGGGAATTTTTTTTTCAGTTTACCTAAATTATTAACCAATCCGAGAAGAGGATGTTAAACAAGAAAATAACCCACTAATGATGAAGATCTGGCAGACCCCAAAACGATGTCATTGCAAACTGAAGATTTTTAAAAACATCATCAAAAAGTTTACAAATGACTCACAGAGAGAAAAACCTAAAAATACAATGGAATTAGCAATAGTATTACAGTGGGAGTATTTTAATAAAAGTACACTGTAATTTTTCTGTGCTTCTATATTTTATATTTATATAAAGTTTTATGCCTATAAAGTGACAAATCTGCCCTTTTGGAGTGTATGTATGTGTATAAATAAATATATGTAATTCAATAGCTAGAATATAATATACATACACATATATTAATATATAATATACATATTTATATATATAAATATAAAATACACTACAAGAGGGCAGATTTGTCAGTCTATAGGTATAACATTTGTGGATAAACAGAACAGTCTTCCAATTTATAGATATTGTAATTCAGGCATATGTAAGGACACAATTATCTCAACAGATTATGTACACATGTACACAATCTTAAGCTATCTTAATGGCATTTGTCAGAACTTTTGAGCTGATATCATCAGAAAAGAGAAAGCATTCGCTAGGGAGCACAATTTAATAGAGCACACCTGCTATCTCAGAAAGAAATACCTTCTGCGTGGGCCTGGCCCCAAGGATGCTGAAGGACGCCCAAGGATGCTCAAGGAGGCCAGCCCGACTCATATGGCTTTCCTTTTCTTCCCTACTCTCTGGCTTACTTTGAAGCAATTTTTGCTATAAACCTCTGCCTTTGCATGGATGGTTTATCAATTGAAACTTGTTTTCACTCATTCACCTTTACTCTCTTGCCAGAGTATTTACAACTCATTAATATTTTTGTTATTGTTTTAAATGTTGCCTTTTATTTCAGATACAGCGGGGTACAGGTGTAGGATTGTTACATGGGTATATTGGATCCAGGTGGTAAGCATAGTACCCAATAGGTAGTTTTTCAACCCCTCCCCTCCTCCCTCTTTCCCCATTCTAGTAGCCTGAAATGTCTAATTTTCCCATTTTTATGGCCATGTGTGCTCAGTGTTTAGTTCCCAGTTATAAGTGAGAACATGTGGTATTTGGTATTCGGTCCCTGTGTTAGCTTGCTTAGGATTATGACCTCCAACTCCATCCACGTACAATTTCTTTCTTTCTTTCTTTCCTTTTTTTGAGGTGGAGTCTTGCTCCGTTGCCCAGGCTGGAGTGCAGTAGTGTGATCTCAGCTCGATGCAAGCTCCGCCTCCCGGGTTCATGTCACTCTCCTGCCTCAGCCTCCCAAGTAGCTGGGACTACAGGTGCCTGCCACCACGCCCGGCTTATTTCTGTATTTTTAATAGAGACGGGGTTTCCCCATGTTAGCCAGGATGGTCTCGATTTCCTGACCTCGTGATCTGCCTGCCTCAGCCTCCCAAAGTGCTGGGATTACAGGCGTGAGCCACCACGCCTGGCCAATTTATTTCTTTATGTGTTTTCTCTCTTATAGGACTAGGGTAGAAGATACAATATTAAAAACATAATCTCCCATATATAACAACTTTGAAAATTATATAATGCAGTATAATCTATATAAGGTATATAAAGAACTGCTTGAAATATCAATAACATAGTCAATAACTACATTTTAACAATTTTTAAATAATTTAAATGAATTTAATTTTAACCAAAATCACAGGGGGAAGTCAATTATTTGTTATCTGAAAAATAATATGTAGTTATAGAGAAAGTATCTTATTTTAGTTTATTTATTGCTATTTTTAGAATAACAAGTTACTTTTGTAGCGTCTTCCAAGGATGAACAATAGAATTCATTTGCTTATCTGCTTGTAGATTTGCTTTGCAATCATTATAAACTTAAAGATTTTGATGAAGTATATGTGTTTCAATCCATTGCCATTATCATTCTTTCGATGTTCAAATTTTTTATCTTGTAACAGTAAGAGCTCTCCAAGTTACTCGTAGGTTAACCCTAAGTCATCCAAGATAGCATCTCTGTTCTGTGAAATTATAATATAGTTCCAAATCATTCTGTTCATGATTTGCCAAAGACCTTGATTCAGCCATTTTCTGAGGAGCCCTGATCTCTTTATTTACAATAAGGTATTTGGAGACAATAATCTAAATGATCGCAGTAGTACTCATTGTTAATAGGTTAGTTCATGCTTCTAGGACTTTTCAGTGGAGCTATAAAAATATTTTCCCTTTCTTTAAAGGAAATACATCGTGAGTTCACACTCCTGCTTCCAATTCAAACTTAGGGTTACTGAGCTTTTACTTCTTTACTTTTATAATTAACTCTTTGTTGTTGATGTTTATAATAAGAATTGAGAAACTTAGATCTTAACAATGTTGATGTAATTATTTGTTTTATCTTAAAATAAATAAAAGTTTCAGAATATCAATGCCACCATTATTAACATTATTTTTGAAAACAGCTGAAAATTTCCTCAGTGTTTTCATAGGGCGTGCCCCACTAAGTCAGTAAATCTGATTACCATGTTCAAGATTCACTTGACAAGGTTCCTTTCTGTATATATAAACCGCAACTCAGTAAGTAAGGAGATTTGTTTTATTTGACTGCAAATTTTTAACGATGCTTTTGCATTTCATTTTAACCTATTCATAATTATGTGAAACCATATACACATATTTTAAATAAAATCTACAAACATGTTCTATTAAAAAAAATCTAGTTTTCTCCCTGTTTTCAGCACACACAACTTCCCATTTCCTGTGTGTAATATTTATTTGCTTGTATTTTTTAAATTTATCCTTACAATTTTAAATTTAATCATATATATACATATAGGTATGGATACTCTCAGCCATTTGTATACGTGAAGTTTCAGCCTAGGTGCATCCTTCTTGTACTTTCTCTACCTTGTCTTTTTCTCTTAACAAATCTCACATGTCATGATATTGTATACAGAGATATTGCATTCTCCTTCTTACAGCAGCATCGGACACTGTTGTGGATATCCTGCCGTTTAGTGGCTGCACAAGTGGATACTGAGAATAGGTACAGGTTATTTATTTATTCCTTTATTTGTACTTTGTTATTTATTTATACTTTTATTTGTACTAATGCCAGAATAAAAAGTTTTGAGTATATGCCACTTTTACTTTCAACAGCATATATTTTTGAATAGATTCCTGGAACTTATCTGCTGTGTCAGATCATAGCACCTGTATCATTTTATTAACATGCGGCCAAATTTCCTTTCACAAGGGGTGTCACCTTTTGCATTTTGCACAATAGTGCATCAGAGTGCCAGTTTCTCCAGACTCTCAGGGAGAAATTGTAAAACTGTGTAAAAATGTAAAATGTTACTTATTGGAAAAATGAGAAATGGCATATCATGATTATCATTTTCATTTCTCTTAACATATCATACAAATTTGAGCACGGTCTTATATTAAACATCAATAGTGGGTTATTTAAACCTGCTTAGACAATCAAAGACAGAAAATTCTATCAAAATAGGGAAATGTGAACTATTTTCAAATATGCATTTATATGTAAAACTGTATTACAATTTGGGTCCTCTTGTACTTTTCTGTCATGAGACTACTATTTATATATCAGCATTAAAGGGAAATATAATTTAAAATATTTGATTTAGAGGAAACTGACAAAATACAGTAGGTATTTTTAGAAATAAATTATCCATCTGGTAAAATGCTTATCTTTTTATAAATGCTGTTAAAGATGCGACTTAATAAATGCTAAAATGAGAGATTATTATATAAAGAAAGTTGTGCTAATTCTGTAGGGCAATGTAATATTGCATATAGCTTTTCTGTTTTGTGATTATTCCTATTATTGTTATTGTTATTAAAAGTCATATTACTAATTGCTATAAGGCTAATAGTCATATATTCCAGAATTTGGAACTGTATGTTATTACAGACTAGTTTTAATTGACTCTGATTAAAAAGATTAGTTTTCAAGTTGAAAACTTGCTGAACATTTCGTGGCCTGGGCTTTTCTCGGACCTACTGTTATCTGACACTATTCTATAAACATTTCAAATTAAGCATTGATTTGCATTACTTTCATTCTTCCTCGAAGACTCCATCAGGGTGTGCTCAGACAAAAGCATGGCTTCCCCCAGCGAAGCCACGGGAATACGCAGTGGAAGACCTACCTGGCCTCGAATCACCAGGCATGCAGCCGTTGCTGACTCTCAGGGCCGTGTTTATCCAACAGAGCTGCGTAAGATCCAGCAGAAGCAGCACTTTTTGCATTGCTTTGATCACATAGGATTTAGAATGCTTATTTTCTCATTAGTTATTCTCTCTTTGTGAGAAAAGCATTAACTTCATTAACTGGCTCTGACAAACCAATTTGCTTTTAACAGCTGTACTCAAAACCAGACACCATGCTCTGCGTCATGGTTTTCATCTGAATCACATAACTGAGTATAAATATAGCTGTCAATTGCTTCATCTCTCCAATAATTCTGGAGACATTTTCTTGCTAGGTATCAATAAAACCTCAAATAAAATAGACCAGAGCCTGTGATGTCATTTGGCACAGGTATACCATGACTCCGGTGTAACATGCAACTGGAGGTGGCTACATTTTTTTTTTTTTTGCCTGCTATTTACTGCCTTGATGTATGTGGCACCCTTATATTTTTCTAATCCCTCTTCTGCATTTATTTTGTTATCCTACCACTACGACATTGCAAATATTATAACTTCTCCAGAGTTCATATTTTCTCTTCAGGTCTAACTTTTTTTTTTAAAAGGCTGGGTGCGATGGCTTATGCCTGTAATCCAAGCACTTTGGGAGGCCGAGGCAGGGAGATCACCTGAGATCAGGAGTTTGAGACCAGCCTGGTCGACATGGTGAAACCCTGTCTCTACTAAAAATAGAAAAATTAGCTGTGTGTGGTGGCAGGTGCCTGTAATCCCACCTACTTGGGAGGCTGAGGCAGGAGAATCGCTTGAACCCAGGAGTTGGACGTTGCAGTGAGCCGAGATCGCACCACTGTACTCCAGTATGGACCACAAAGGAAGACTCCATCTCAAAAAAAAATGAAATGAAATGAAATATAATAAAATAAAATGTAGTACCAACCTGGATAAGACACTTGTCATACATCCTAGCAAGTAAACCTCCAAATTATTTGATGAAGGGATTTGATGAAGTTAGTGTTTACCCATTTTACAGATAAGGAAACAGAAGCTCAAAGAAGTAACTTGTTTTGGGTCACAAAGCTGGTGAGAAGGTAAAACTGATTTCTCAAATGTACAGTTCTTGCTTACCAAAGTTCCCCTTTTATGGAATCTTTGAATCTAAAAGCCCATATTGAATGCAGAAAGCTTTATTTTTTCAGCAAAATGCTAATTCTGGCTTCAGTTCTAATCTCAGCCAAAATAAATAAAATAACCTACTCCCTTGTCAGGCAACGTTATCCTCCATTGCCAGTGTTAGGTGCCAGAAAAATGTGTGGCTTTTGTTTTTCTTTTTAGAAATGTTACATAATGACCTTTAGCTTAGCATATTCTGTGGAAAAAGCTAAAAATGGATTTTTTTGTGGGTGAATTAACACACAATTTGAATTATTTTGCAGTATTACTGTATTTGAGGTTTGCCACTGCCACAAGTCAGCAGACACTAAATATTGCATTCAGCTTTCATATGCAGTATTTCTGGAAGATAGTATGCATATGTGGGATGTAAAATATATCTTTTAAGACATTTTCAGTCTAAATAGACTTCCCAATCTCTTTCACTAAGCCCATGGATCAGCAGGAATGTTTTTGGAGTGTTCCCACAGAATCATCATTTCATTTATGATGGCATTACATTTTTAGTCAGTCTTCAAAAACTCATCTTTGAAATTGTGTGAAAAAAATATAAGCAAATATCTTTCCCCCAAAATCCTCTAATATTTCATTAGCCTTACAGAATGAGTTAACATATTTAGCAAACTTCCAACATTTTTCTCATGTTACACTGGCTTATAATGTTAAAAGGGACTTAGGAAAAAAGAGTTTGATGTACCACAGGTGGACTGCAAATTTAAATGGTAAAATAACTGAGAATATTGTTTATTAAGATTATAGTAGGGGAAAATATCCTAGCTCTATCCTTGAATTATTGTGATTTTACGGAAACAAAATGTTTTATCTTTAGTCACTTAGAATACAATACTTTCTGATAGTTTTAATCTGGTTTATTTTCCATATGGGTTAAGCATTATGTGTATGAAATAGTTTTCCCAAACTCTTTTCTGGGTCACCTTCTGCCTCAAGACAGGAACCCCAGAGAGGTTGGGTGTGCGGAAATCTCAGGGCTGGATTTCTCTTCCCATCTACCCCAGCCCAAACTCCGCCCCGTCCAGGTGCTGCCTGCAGATGCCCATGGCTATTGAGCCGCTCACCGGGGCCCTCTTCCCCTCCTCACTCGCCAAGCAGCAAGCTGAACCTCCCCCGGCTTCTTTCTGTCATATTATTTTCAATACGATTATCGTGACACCATATATAAGCCCTATGAATATATAAACACCGAAAGTGGTTGGCGTGCAATGTAAAGCATGATGGACTCAAGTTAGGAATGAAGTTTGACAGGAGGGGCTGGGATTTGCTTTAAACTGCTGCTGGTTTGCTCAGATAATGTGGTAGATTCCAGCAAGAAGTAAAATAAGGAAAGATTTCTGCCCATAAACATCTCACCAAAATTTCAGAAATCACCACTAAAAAACTTTTCCATGCAACCAAACACCACCTGTTCCCCCAAAACTGGTGAAATAAGCATGAAAATTAAAAAATAACAACAACCGCGAAAATCTCAAAACCTCAGGCCGGGTGCAGTGGCTCATGCCTGTAATTCCAGGACTTAGGGGAGGCTGAGGCAGGAGAATGGCTTGAGCCCAGGAGTTCCAGACCAGCCTGGGCAACAGAGCGAGACCTCATCTGAAAACCTAATGGATGGGAAAGAAATGAAAACAGATTATTTTAATTAAAGATAATAAGCACTATAACAGAAGTGAAAATAAACCTTGAGAGGGGCCAGACATGGGAGCACCTAACAGTGTACAAAGGTCAGGAAAGGCTTCTTGGAATAATCCTGAGTTCACTGTAACTGCGGATGCTTACCAAGTGTCTAAGCTGTGCCAGGTACTAAGGGCTGTCCACTTACCTTAATCATCCCGGACCAGTGAGGTACCTTCTGTTATTATCCCCATTTTACAGATGATAAAACTGAGGCAAAAAAAGGTAAAGGCTCACCCAAACCAGCAACACAGGAAGTCTGACTCTCCGCCACTCTGCTAGTCTGCTATTTAATTTTATGAGGCTGTAGACTAAACTGAACAGCTATGATTCTTGCATACAATAGGGTTAATAGCACAGGTAAAGGGTCTGAAACATGAAAAGCTCAAACTCTTTAAATGCCTCATTTTACTTAGCAAAATGTTTCACAAACTCGATTGTTAGAAACTCTAAGGACATTTTTGTGTTTCCCCAAAATGCTATTGTCTGGAGAGTTGAGAATTATGAGAACTGATTTTTTTACCACCAATTTAAGCCAATAGTGGTGCCAGGGCTCAATTTCATGAATTTCCAGCTGCATCTAGGGACTGGAAGTCCCATCTCTGCTTTGCCAGTAACTACTGTGTGACTTAGAGTGAGCCAGTTCGTCTCTCTCATCCCCAGGATCTACTGGCACGTGCTGATCATAACTACCCCCATGCAGTTCTTACAGCAATTACAGTGGGTACTGCCTTTGAAGATTTTAATGTGTTAAAGTGTTTTTATAGTTTTGCTTATTTTGTAAGCACTGCCTTCACCTTTGCACTTCTAAGTGGGCTCCACTTGGATCAAGGTGTCCCACGTTATCAAAAATCGGTAGGCGTCGTGGCTCACACCTGTAATCCCCACACTTTGGGAGGCTGAACTGGGCCTATTGCTTGAGGTCAGGAGTTCAAGAACAGCCTGGCCACCATGGTAAAACCCTGTCTGTACTAAAAATGCAAAAATTAGCCGGGCATGGTGGCAAGCACCTGTAATCCCAACTACTCAGGAGGCTGACTTGAACCAAGGAGGCTGAGGTTGCAGTAAGCCAAGATCTTACCACTGCATTCCAGCCTGGGTGACAGAGTGAGACCCTGTCTAAATAAATAAATAAATAAGATAAAGAAAAAAAGAATCACTCTTATATCACCATGCTTGACCAAAAATAATAATAATAAGTGGAATTCTCAATAAATCCTGACAAAACTGTACAGTCAGCAATATGAAATGCCAGGGAAGGGATGGAGGCTGGAGGCGCCGCACCTGTAGCTGCACTCTGTCCATTTCTATAGGATGAATGTTGGCAGGCGATGAATTTCCAGATGAGGCCTGACTGACCTCAGATGTGGAGGAAGAAATGCTGTGAGCCACACTCTGTTGCCAATTGAAGCAAATGTGGTCCCAGAGCCTGAAGTCCCCGTGTGCAATGGGCGCCCTCTAGCTTCTTACCAAGTGAAATATATGCTCATTTCTGGACAATGAACTCAACAGTTTGGGCAAGTAAACACTATACTGAATCCACATTCTTAGAACTCTTAGTTCTAAGTCTTCCTCAAACTTTCTGAATAAAAATATGGCACAACTTGTTTCATGGAAGAAAGAATCAAGTTAAAATACCTTTTTTTTGAAATATTAGGATAAACACAGTCAACAAAACCCATGAATATGTTAATATAAATTGTCGTTCTCCATAACAGAAAATAAAAGATACAAACTTACTAACAAAAAAAAAGTTTTAATTTTTAAGTTTTCTCTTCAGAAGAATAACCATTAAAAATCTCACTAGACACTGACGTTTTATAGAACACAGTTCTGAGAACAATGGGATATTTGAATAGATCACCAAATCAATTTTTTAAAAAAGCACAATTATTGAAGCCTCCTTTATGAATGCTGTTGCAAATTAGAAGATAAAAGGGTGCTGTCATTTTTGCCCAGTATTTTATGTTATTGCTAACGCAATTTTTTTCAATGTAACTTCTTCACTTTGCTCCAATGCAAGAGAATGGAGATTAACAGACTATATCACCACTGTATCTTATGCGGCAGAAGATAGTTTGAATCTATTTAAATTAGGGAACATATAATTCAATGGATGGTCATGAAAAAAATAAGTGAAAGTACAAAGTAAACATATGGTAGCCATACATATTTTAAAATATTCAAGAAATATAACATGATTATATTATTAAATATTTGTAAATAAAGAAAAAAGTTTTTTTCACAGTATATTTCTATCACTCTAATAGAAATATATTAGCATTTTTGAATATTTATCTAATGTTTCTTCAGGGCACCTGCCTCCATACAGTTATAATCATGGCATATTTGCAATTTATAACCAGTGTTTTACAAATTGATAGTCTATATTTTAGAGTAGGTTTAAGGTGATGGTAAAATGTAGCAGAAATAAGATTTCATATATACCCCTCACATGCCTCCCATAGTTTTCCCTATTATCAACATCCTGCATTAGTGTGGCACATTTATTACAATTGATGAATACTGATACATTATTGATTCAAGTCCATTATTGACATTCTATTTCTTTGTGTTATACAGCTGTGTAAGTTTTGCCAAATGTACAAAGTCATGCATCCACCATTACAGAATCACATCTGACGGTGTGGACTGCCCTAAAGATCCCCAAAGCTTCACCTGTTCATCCCTCCCTTCCTCCACCCCCTGGCAACCACCCATCCTTTTAGCGTCCCCATAGTTCTGCCTTTTCCAGAATGTCATATATCTGGAATTATACAGTTTGTAGCCTTTTCAGATTGGCTTATTTTACTTAGCATTGTGCAGTTAAGTTTCCTCCATGCCCTTGCATGAATTAATTGTTTCCCTTTAGCCCTGAATAATTTTGATTATCTGTATGGACCACAGTTTATACATTCACCAACCGAAACACATATTGGATGCTTCCAGTTTTGACTATAAACGTTCATGCACAGGTTTTTGTATGAACATAAGTTTCAATTCATTTCAGTAGATACCTATGATGGCTGGATCATATGGGAAGGACACGTTTAATTTTGAAAAAAAAAAAAAAAAAAAAAAAAAAAAACCCACACCAAAGTGTCTTCCAAACGGGCTGTACCATTTTGCATTCCCACCGCTAATGACTGAGAGTTCCAGTGGATTCATATTCTCACCAGCATTTGATGTCAACATTTTGAATTTTAACCATTCTACTAGGAATGTGGTGGTATCTGATTATTGTTTCAATTTGCAATTCCTTAGGGACATAAGATGTGGAGCGCCTTTTCATATGATAATTTGACATCTGTTTATCATCTTTGGTGAGGTGTCTGTTAAGGTCTTTAGCCCATTTATTAGGTTCATTGTTTTCTATTGAGTTTTACATTTAATTATATATTTTCGGACACAGGCCCTTTATCAGAAATCCGTTTTTGCAATTACTTTTCCCAGTCTGTGGCTTGCCTTTTATTCTTTTAACATTGTCTTTCTTAGGGTTCTTAATTTGCATAAAGTCCAACTTAAATGATTTTTTCATGGATCACACCTTTGATGTTGTATGTAAAAACCATTGCCAAACCTAAAGCCATCTGAGTTTCCTCCTTTGTCATCCTTGTGTGGTTATATAGTCTCGCATTTCATATTTAGGTCTATGAGCCATTTTTAGTTACTGTTTGTAAGAGGTCTATTGTCAATATCTAAATTTATTTATTTAATTTTGGTAGGTAGATGTCCAGTTGTTATTGAATCAAAGTTTTTCTTTTAAAAAATCTATTGTTACTTTTATTAATAAAAATTACAGTAGTTATAAAATTTTGTAATAGTTATATGTAGTTTACTCTTTCCTTGTAACGTTACATAAAAATTGACTTTTATTTTAGCTAATATATGTTACATTGGGATCCACTGCTGACTTTTAAAAATTACTTATAAGGCTTTAGAGGACACAGAAGGAAAAATTTATATATTAATCTTAAAAATATACACAAATCTTCAACTATAAATAAAATAATACAATTTAACTATAGTTGGTAAGATGCATTAACGTATTCCATGTCCAGCTTTAAGCCAGGGTGTATTACAATGTATCCTTGAAAATTCATTCTCAGGCATGGGTCAATGTTACAGTGTCAGAGCAAATCCATTTTTGAAGGGCAGCACTGCTGTTCACTTATAGACCAAAAACCTGAATTAGCTACCTGTAACACATTAATGCTTCACTGCTTCCAAAAATAGGGAACTGGAATTGAATAAGCAGCAAGGAATCTTCTCCATCACATTGGTCTTTAATGTTCCACTTACATTGAAATTCAGAAATATATTTGAGAAGTTTAAAAACATAATATGTCACTTGTTGTCTATAAGCATATTCGTAATGCATTTTACTCTATATTTATCACGCACGTATCTGAATGCATGCACCCATTTAAACAATATACGTGTGTGTGCACACATATGTGTGTATGATGTATATAAAAGGCATGTTAAGAGGGGACATAGTAACTTGGAAAGAGCACAGGTTTTAAAGTGAAACAGACCTTTCTTAAAAATCATATTTGTGAGAAACAGCTATGAGAACCTGAACAATGGAATTTGCATTTTCTTAGTCATAAAATGGGAGGTGCAGTAATGTATAGTTACTTCACAGTGCTTTCTCAATGAAAGATGAAATACTTGTTGCAAAATGACTCAACAGTTTCTAACACCAGAAAAGCCCTTCATAAATATTTATTATTCTTTCGTTTTATTCTCCTCCAAATATGGAGTTTTCAATCAATGAACACTCAACGTCTGCCTTGATTAATAAGAGTCCTACATATTAGGAGAGAGGTAAAAATAGGAAGGGCTCGTTTACCTACTTTTCAATATATCTTTAAAAATAAACTAGTGGGTAGATCTCACGACCCTACGAAAGAATCTACATATATAAAAATGTAACACAAAAATGAAAGGTTCTTTGGGTCACAGTGATACTGGCAACAGAAGCCCTGGCTAGAGAAAAAGTGGTTGGCTGGTTCGTGGCTAGGAGTAAGACACCCTAGGAGTTTCCCAGTGTGCAGTGAGACATGCTCACTATTTTCTCTGTTAAAGCTGATGCCAACGGATAGCAAATTCCTCACTTTCACAGGCATCCATGGAAAAACGCATCTGTACCTGGAATCATGCACCATGTTAAAATCCATTGCAGAGCAAACTAGCTCATCATCTAGGCCACACAGGAGACAGTTTCTAGGAAGATCATTTCATCAGGTGTCCTCTATCCCCTATATTTTACATTTAGTTCTCTCTTTTCTCCATCATCTAATCACATTCTTGCCTATTCTTTCTCAGAAAGAAACTTTCTCCCATGTCGCCTGAATCCCCTTCTTATGACCCCCTTCTACTGCATTCCATCCACAGCTGCATCTACAGAGACTTTTCAGCTTCCCTCCACTTACCACCTGCAAGTCAACTTCATCAGACACCCTCACCCAGGTATAAATGGAAAGATTTCTACTGAAACTTTCTTCAGCTCATCAGAGGCTTCTAGAATCAAAATCCAATGAACATTTTTCAGTTTATTATGTCCTTGTTATATCTACGGGCCTTGGCCCTGGTCGCACAAGACCACAAGCCCCTGCTCCCACCACTTCTTTCCCTCTGGAGGGTCCTTTCCATGTTCTTTTCTGTCTTTTCCTCTCCGGCCATTTATGATGGTAAATTTTCTGTGTCAACTTCACTGGGGTAAGGGTTGCCCAGATAGCTGGTAAAAGATTGCTTCTGAGTGTGTCTGTGAGGGGGTTTCTAGAAGATATTAGAGTTTGAATCGGCAGACTGAGTGAAGAACCACCCTTACCATTCCACGGGCACCGACCAACCCATGGCAGGCCACAAAGAACAAAAGATAAACGGTGAATTTTCTCTTTTCCAGAGCTGGGACCTCCATCTTCTCCTACCCTAGTACATCAGCACTTCTGGTTCTCAGGCCTTCAGATTCAGGACAGGACTTTGACCACTAACTCTTCTTGCTCTCAGGACTTTGGCCTTGGCTGAGTTACGCCAATGGCTTTCCTGGATCTCCAGCCTGTAGATAGCAGATCATGAGACGTCTCCGCCTTCATAATCATAGCTAAGTCAATTCCCATAATAAATATATATGTGTATGCATATAAATTATACATGCTACATATAATATATAAAAATATATGCATAGTTATATTTATAATTATAATATTTGTATATAATACAACATATGCATATATATGTATATCCTATCTGTACACTGCTAGTTGTCTCTCTCTGGAGATCCCTAACACACCATCCCTGAGATGTTGATTCTCCTCTGCCCCTACAGGATAGCCTCATTCACGTACATGAAGTAGGCATCACCCTGTGTGCCCTACATCCTTATCTATAATTCATACCCAGACATCTTCTTTGAGCTCCAAATTCATACATCCAACTACCTTTTGGACTTGTCTATTTGTATATTTCATAGTCACCTAAAATTCAATATATGCATCCCCCAGACCTGTTTCTAAATTATTTCATCAGACCTGCTGTTTTCTGTCTCTATCCCAACCCGTCCACTTATTAAACTAGGCCCCCGTTATCCAGCAAGCCTGGGTTCTGCCTCTGTGGTTTCCTTCCTGCGGCTGCTGAGTCTGGGTGTTGCCATCTTTCAGATTACTAAATGTAAAGGCATTATAACTAGGCTTGAATTTTCCAATCAATTTTCCACGTTGCCACAGCAGTGAACTTTCTAAAACACGTATCTGAAAATATTACTTTCTTCTTTTATATTTGTGAGTGGATTTTAGAAGAAAATACAACTTCCTAGCATCAGATTGAAAAAGAAAAAAAGAAACTTTCATTATATGCAGCAGCCCACATTTCTGGCCTCTTTTTTTCTACCAGGTCCCTATGCACACTCTGCTCTCACTGTATTTACCTGTTCGTAGATACTTGGATAAACCATCATCTATCTCTCAAGTAATGCCTGTGTCATTCTTTACTGTTTTTCCACAATTAAAAAGACTTAAACATTATACTCAATGAATGTAAAACGAATGATTGAGTTCTGTATGAGAAATGGTAAATTAAAAAGTCTCTTATCTGGAGTAGAAGCTATAAGCAGATGATTCTGATACAAGGAATTTTGAATGAAAACTCTTGTACCCTGGAAATTTAATGTTCAAGAAAATAGAGTGTTAATGTGGCAGAGAGAAACAAGAATGGTTAGGTTTTGTTGTTGTTGCACGGGGATTGGACGGGATATCCCAGAAGAAATCTGAGCAATAATTCAGCCATGACAAAATAAAGGCCGAGAAAACAACTTTGTTTTGGGTCTGGAAAACAAAAGAAGGGTAATTACATTTATTGAGCAAATGTAGGCCAGGCACTCCCAAGCAATCCAGTACTCCCTTTAAAAAACATTGTGGGTTACAGCCAACCCTTGCAATATATTAAATAAAAGGCACAGTGTAAAGAAGGAATTACAGCTTGTTCTCATAGTTTATTTGCTTTGATGATGATACTGTTTTGGATGGTACCGAATGTCTAGGATTGGAGACTCCTACAAGAGCTTATGTTGGGCCTAACATAGCGCCGTCAAAAATTGGCATTTAATAAAAAATGTACGTTGAGTGCAAAAATGAAGTTATCTTTATGAAAACTATCGAAAAAAGTTCACTTTTTAATTTAGTCATGTATAAGTCTCATTTTTATTTTAATAATATCACCCCAAGAAGCAAATACTCTATCGTATTTTGTCGTTCATTGAATATTCATGTTGTATATTTAGACGCATAGTCTATTTCTTTGTTATGCTATAACATTCCTGACTTTCATATAAATATGAAATCAATGTAATTGCATTCATATAAAGCAAGACATAAGCCCTCAGAATGAAAATGCCATGCAAAAATAAAAAATGAATGCCTTTCATGTCACACTGAATTCAATGCACAAGCTTTTCTTTTTAAATATATAATTAAATATGATTTGATTAGTAATAGATGCAAATGGCTTTTTTTCCCCACAGAATGATTTCAAAAATCATCACAATTAGGTGTTTGATTTTCCATCTACCTGTCTACAAAGCATTTCTCTTTTTTAACTGATCTCCAGTTGTCAAGGTAATTACAGAACCGCTTTGAAAGCAGCTGCATTCCCAGGTGCCTTCCTGTTAGTTCACGGGAAACCATGCAACAACCTGATATATGGAGAGCATACTGCCTTGGTCTTGGGGGGACATGTGATGCGCGCAGGAGGTAAAGTATTTCTCTGTACCTTAAAATACATTTAGAATCCTGTTACCTTGGAAATTTCTCTTACCTCCATATTTGATCTATCTAAGTTAATTTTGCATAAAGTTTTGAGACGCAATTGTATTTTTTTATTTCCAAGTTTATCAGATTATGAGTAATTAAGTATATTTTGTTGACTTTTCACATTCATTTAATGTTTTTAACTTCATTAACTTCATTAAACTTCCATAAGTTTGACTTAAGAAAAGTGGTCATTAAAAAAATAGCATCTTGCCCCAATTGTCTTTCTTACACAGACTGACTCAAGGGATTCCTCTCAGCTGACTTGATTTCTGGAAATCACTCCATTGGCAGCAATGTAATGTTATCAACCCTACCATATTCCAGAATGCCAAAGAAATTATAACGGAAGACCAAACACCCAGGTGACTTGGAATGCGAGGGGAAGGAAAAGGGTAAAAGAAATTATTCCAGAAACAAGAAAAATGACTCTCTAATAATGGGGTATATTGGTTAACCTAAACAAAACACAGTAACAGTTTTCTAATTGTGATTTATTTCTATCCATCTTCTTTTGCTTTTTTAATTGACTCTGTTAAATAGGTTTCCACTGATTCCCAGTCTTCCAATAACTCTTTAACCTACAGATAATTTTGCAATTCCTCCCTACCCAAGAAAGACAGTCATGTGCACAGCCTCCCGCATTACGTGATGCTGGCACTCTTGGATCAACAAAGACATGAATGGCCGGGCGCGGTGGCTCACACCGGTAATCCCAGCACCTTGGGAGGCTGAGGCAGGAAGATCACTTGAGTTCAGGAGTTCAAGACCAGCCTGGGCAACATGGCAAAACCCCGTCTCTACTATAAATCTATAAATACAAAAATTAGCTGGGTGTGGTGGTTGACACTTGTAATCCTAGCTACTTGGGAGGCTGAGGCAGGAGAATCGCTTCAGCCCAGGAGGCAGAGGTTGCAATGAGCCAAGATCTTGCCACTGCACTCCAGCCAGAGTGACAATCTAAGACTTTGTCTCAAAAAAAAAAAAAAAAAAAAAAAAGAAAAGAAAAGACATTACTTAGGTGAATGGCCATTTTCAACATTCTCTTAAAATGGTAACTTTTGAGTCACATTTCTGTTAATCAAGGACAAGAGTGGAGGAGAAAAGTGGCTGCAGCATTCCTTTTTGTCATCCTCAGAATTGGAACACCCCCATGTTTGGATAGGCGTGGGTTGCTCGGTAGAAACGGACTTTTCCCCAGTTCTCCTTTTCTGCTTGGTGTGGCCACATGACGAAGGTCTCAGCAAAAGAAGTTCATGGGATGTGCTGTGTGCAACTTTCCCTGTACCTCTTGAAAGCACATTTCTCAGCCTTCACTTTTGCTTCTCATTTCCATGGTTGTGGTTTCACGGCCAACTTTGATCATGAGGAATACAACACATTTCATTGGAAGAAGCATACACACACGCACACACACACACACACACACACACACACACAAACCCGGTCCCTAGATGGCATAGAAAGCTGAACATCACCACTAGCTTAGATGACTCATTTCTTGGCTATTAAAAAAACTGTAAACTAAAGGTATTGCATTTTTAGGTCACTTTGATACATCAGCTTATTCTCTATCTTTAACTGTGCGGAAGCTGTTAACCAAAAACTCCTATTTTTGCAGGATAAAGTTTATTTTTTGAAACATTTTTTAAAAACCAGAAAACACAAAAGCAGGTGATTTTTAAATAGGTAATGAAATCATAGATGTTGGGATTTAAAAGGATCTCTAACAGTTTACCTAGACAAAGGTGACAAATATACTCTCCTAACTCACCTTGTCTATTATCCAGTCCACAGTGTCACATGTTTAAAATCAATCTTAACAACTTTTTCTTCTGAGCCCGGAGGCAGTTTAATCATCTTTATCAACACAGTGCTCTACAAACCACCACCAATTGGTCCAAGTCGACACAGAAATGGAAAACTATTTGCTCTCCTTGAAATACTTTGATCCTATCATTTTACATACTAGAAAACGGAGACCCAGGACTTGGCTCAAGTTAGTTTCCTGAGTATCTGACTATGAGCATTTCAACGAATTCATTAAAAAGAAATACACCAAACAAAGGCTGCCCAAATTAATATCAGGATTTATAAAATCCTGCCTTTTGAAGTAGTCCTTGACAACAAATTCTCAAAACTAGATTCACTATTTTGAATGTTTTAAAATAAAATGTGGTTATAATTACCTAAAGAGACACTGACCTGGGTCTGGCAACATCTATGTGGAGATCCTGTGTATCTTACCTTCCACGGACTCAGCTCAGAAATGTCCACCAGCTCCACCAACCCTCCTGTAATACTGAAAATCCTCGAATGCAGAGGCAGGCTATCTTTTTATAGTTAAAATCCAACTGACTCAAGGCTGTATGTGAAACCCAATCTCTTGTCTTCTCATGGTCCCCCGGCTGTGAGTGCCTTTGGTGTGCTGTGTACACCATTTCATCCACTACCCTTAATTCTCCTCCCCACCAAACCCCATGCGGACTACTGTCCTTTCTTTTGTTTTCACTTAGATCCTCTCATTCTTCACGAAGGATTTGACCTGATGGTGATATTTTAGTTTGCAGAAAAACAACTTGAAATTGAATGCTACCTGCCCAACCATCCCTATGGTCTTCCCTGGCTGACTCTCTGCAGGTTCCAGGCACCACCATGTCACCCCACACTCAAGATGCTGCCATCAAATCCAGGCTTCTCAGTTTAACATACAGGACAATGTTGGTCCCAACACTTCTCAGGATCAATTTATTTATTTATTTATTTTTTGAGACAGGGTCTTGCTCTATCTCCCAGGCTGGAGTCCAGGCTGGAGTCCAGTGGTACAATCATAGCTCACTGCAACCTCTCAGGCTGAAATGATCCTCCCACCTCAGCCTCCCTAGTAGCTGGGATACCTGGCTTATGCCACTACACATGGCTAATTTTTTGTATTTTTTTTTTTTTTGTAGAGATGGGGTATCACCATGTTGCTCAGGCAGACTCAAACTTCTGGACTCAAGCAATCTGCCCACCTTGACCTCCCAAAATGCTGGGACTACAGGCATGAGCCACTGCTCCTAGCTGGTCACATTCTTTAGCAAACTAAAAGATCTAGAAGTAGCTTTAACAGTTTAATTTCAAAATTACTAATCAAATTATTGTCAATTGAATGAAATAAGGAACTGACATATGCTAGCACTGACATTAATGGGGTGTCTTAGAAGGCACAAAATCTAACATGCATTGGGATTTTAAACATCATTTGTTTTTTAATCTTAAGATACAAAGCATGCTATTCTATGTAGCTTGGTCTCAATGTGAGCCTCCCTTTCAAGGTTAGTAACTCATCTGCTGTGTTTCTGCTTCAGAAGGACCTGGGAAAATCCTTCCCTGAAACGTTATGCATATCCCTACACTCAAATCTCACATTCTTTTTTTTTTCTTTTGGCTTCTGTGAACTTTAAGGAAGAGCCTACTCAAATCCCGAATCCTGTCTCAAAGACTTGCATCCATTCCCATCTCCTATTGGTTCAACAATGTGAAGGTGTAGAAATAGTACCAAGAACAGATTTATTGGGTGGGAAATTTCTGCCCAGATATATGCAGAACTCTGGAGAAGATTAATGAAGTCAGCTTTCCATTCCCTGGGAAGCACTAGTATCTTGGGCATCCGGTTCTCCTGAAATGGACTTCTGGAATCACAGTGAGTTTCAATTGGGGAAAAAAAAAATGAAAGCTGTTTTCTGAGGTACCAAGCCTAGCAATCGATCTTAATGAGATGGGTCTATTACCCCATCACAAGATGCTCAGAAGCTTTAAAATTTAAAGTGAAACTAGATAGGCATCGTTTGAACAGTCATCTCAGAAGGGTGGTAAAGTGCTTTACACACCTAACCCCACCTCCTTCACAGGATAGCCCACTGCAATTATGCTCTAGCTGGATGTTTGTGAAAATCTAGCTGAGAAGCTCTTCTTTTAAACCTCTTCCCTAGGAACAGGTGAGATGGCAAGTTCCTATTCCCCAGAAGGGCCAGGCCTTCCCTCCCGTCTCTTTCTGCTCTCTTGTACCTTGCTTATGTATGCTGGCTGCTTGGTGACATTTCACCGAGTCAGAACATGAAGCACGTTAATAATAAGCTCACATTTTCAAAATGTTAAAATAACACCACTCTCTAGGTACCAATTACTTCTTTCAAAGATAGTTTTCGAGGTACCTATGAGCCCCGTACCTTGTGAACACCTCACTGTTGCTTTGTACGTTTTCAGTTGTCGCCTCCCTTTCCCATGTTTCACATGTGTGTCTGTGGAACTCAGCTCTAAAATCTGGACAGTCTGCAACCATCATAAATGTAACAGTTCCTCATTCCACTTCACTCCAAAGACTAAGATTTCATATATCAGCTCTGGGTAAAAGTGCTTCATTTTGTGTAATTTTCATTAATTACTCCTGACAGGCATTTATAAACATTTATAAGGCTTCATTTTGTATTATTTTCATTAATTACTCCTGACAGGCATTTATAAACTGAAAAAGAATTTTTTTTTTTTTTTTTTTACAAATGAAAGCAAACCATTTTATTCAAAAATAAAGGAGGGAGAGACTGCTTAAAAAGAGTTTTGATGTTCTTTATGTGATTTTTTTAGCTATCATATTTAAGAACACATTAAACATTCTAAATTAGATTATTTTTGATCTAGCACTTTAGAAACCAGCTTAGCTCTACCAATATAGCATGAAAAGCATCAGTGAGATCATAACTATCTTCAGCACATTTCCCACTATTTTTAGGATTCTAGAGTGACGTTAATTGTGCCTCATGGCAATGCTATTAGTGTACAGAATATTTCTAACTGCTCAGAGTAACGTGTAATCGTCCTATGTCTGCCATGAAAAGACTTCTGGATCATCTATTTACAAGGGACATGATTGGGTTAGCTGGGAAGACACAGGACTGGGTTAGCATAAACCAAAACAAGCTGCCTAAAACAAGCACAAAAAATCTGATGACTGGTTCAGCTGGAATTGACCTCAATGTGAAGGAGTCCATTTAGCCTGTCACGCTGATGTCTGCTGGCATGAGACAGTCTGGCCAAAGCTTAGTAGACCTTGCGATCTAACCGCCCAGTGTTCCACATTATATCCCTGCTGTCTCGTCAGTACCAAACTTCAGGTTTTTAATATTGTGTGTAAATTCAACATATTTATTATATTAGTCACTTGTGGAAACAATCGCGATTTATTTATTTTTTTGAGGCAGAGTCTCGATCTGTCGCCCAGGCTGGAGTGCAGTGGAGAAATCTCGGCTCACTGCAACCTATGCTTCCCGGGTTCAAGTGATTCTCCTGACTCAGCCTCCTGAGTAGCTGAGACTACAGGCATGCGTCACGATGCCCGGCTAATTTTCATATTTTCAGTAGAGACAGGGTTTCACCATGTTGCCCACGCTGGTCTGAAACTCCTGACCTCAGGTGATCTACCTGCCTCGGCCTCCCAAAGTGCTACGATAACAGGCGTGAACAGGCCACCGCGCCCAGACACAGTCACTTTTTAACATTAGAATGTTCACGTAATAATTTGAGAATCTGGAACAAATTTCCTGTTTAATTTGTGGCTTTATAGAAATTACTGGAGTGATAATAGTTGAGTTGTATGGAAGTTAAGAGCGAAGCTGTATATGACATTTAAATATCATACACCGTTCTCAGGATGTGTTGATTTTACCTTATTGCTAAGTTGCCATAGGCAACATTTACCATAAATATTAAACAATGTGATAAGAATCATCATAAATACCTAAAAATTAGGTTTGCAAGTTTTACTATTGTAGTGATGTATTCGAACTTTATTGAGTGCTAGTCATTGGCCAGGGAAACCCATGAGCCAGCAGCGTCCGTCCCTGTTGAGGCAGTCCAGTATTTTCTGAGTAAGCATTGATGGGGTTAAAAGCTGAAGATAAATAGAAGGTTGCCAGGCCCAGGTGGTGATGATGGTGTTCATGGATGTGGGATGCTGTCTTCTAGGCAACGAATTCCTGTGGGATGGAGTAAGCCAAGCCTGCTGGAGGGGCCACCAGGGCCCCTGAGGAACACAGAGCCAGAAGGAGAGCACGCAAGTAAGACTCAGAGATGCTGGTAGGAGCCAGCCCACGCAATTCCAAGTAGGCCATGGCAGGAATTTAGCTATTTATTTTTAGGAATGATAGGATGCTTTTTGAAAGGTTTCAATCGATGTGAAATATGATCACTTTTACATTTGAAAAGATCATTCTGACTTCAGATGGCAGATTGGTAGGAATAAGAATGAATGCAGGAAGACCAGCTTACGGGTTATTGCAGAAATCTGAGAGGAGATGGCTGTTCGGTCAGGGAAGATGCCAGAAAAAAGACAGGTGCAGTGGCATGTTTGGGAGATGCTCAGAAGGAAAAAACAAATGGACCTGGCAATGGATGGAACATGGGAGGGACGGGGAATGTCGTGGGCCATTTGGGTTTCCTCTCCAGCGCAGGTGCATGGAGACCAGATTTGGACATGCTGTTGTCAAGGACCTCACAAATCAGGGGGCGATTCTGAAACAGGTGAAGCTAGCCTTCCTGCCTGGCCACTTGGTTTTCTACTCTCCATCTGCATCCCAGTTCCTTTTTCCTGTTACAATTGCCTCCAGGAAGGATCATTGATACCTCACTTTGGGTTTCAGCAGCTTATATCTCTATGGAGTGTTTTAATTCTTCATGATAAAAATGCTGCTTTTGTCAGAATTCAATCAGCAATGGAGAGGAATAAGTCTCTTTAGGGGTGAGATTCTTCACAGGAGCCTGCACCCTTTCAGGGAAACCATAAGAAAGTTCCATTTCAGTTAACAAATGCAAAATAATACTGAGATTGAAAGAAAATTAGAAAACCTATTAGCTTTTAATATACTTTAAGCCAGAGTTATAAAATACGAAAATTATATCTAAAAGACTGAAAAGACTTTCTTTAAAAAAAGTCAAGTGTATCTTTACTGTGTAAAATATGAAGAAACTTTTCAACAGTTCCTTACTTTAGGAAGTGAATTTCTTTTTCTATATAAAATGATTGATTTTCTGTAAGTATATTTTTGAACCTCTAAATGCTTCCCTTATACTCAATGAATTAAATAAAATATAATTATTTTAGTTTAAATTTCTCGAATTTACTTAGGGAATGTTTGCATCAAATGGAAAAACAAAATAACGCAGACATTAAGATTTAATAAGTATGCTATGCATAGATCCAATTTTTGTATTAATTCTTTTGAATTTACGACAACATTTTATTATGGGGATACTTTATATCAGAAAAGTTAGGATTTCTCCCAGGAAAATGAAAGTTATTTTATGGTTCTTTTAAAATTAATCTTGACCATTTTCATAAATTTTAATTGTAAAATAGTATAGAATACCTATTTTAAATAATGTTTAAGGTTATGAAGATGTCCAAAAATAACTGTATAACAATTTTAAGAGCATTGTAAGCTGGCAAGACTACACGGAGAGGCCAGGGTACAGAGGACATATCGCATCCACACTGTGCTCATATTGCTTGCTACAGTCTCATGAGGAAAGTCTCGAGCAGCACCCCGAATAATCGAATTATCTCTCAACCTCAGTTCCTTCTCGGTACAACAGAGAAAATAATACCTACTTGTCTAAATAGCAAAGAATAAACGAATAGTATATGGTAAAATAATCCTGTTCATTTTTTCCCATAAAGTGTTTAATAGGATAGTGATAGTGCAATGCAAACAACAAAAGTTTTTTTCCATAAGTTTAATTAGCGGAAACACATTGCCACAAAATATTCACAAGATGAGCATCGCAAAGTCGAAAACCTCAAATCCAAAATGATCCAAAACACCCAAACTTTCTGAGTGCTGACATAAAGCTCAAATCAAACACTCATTGGAGCACTTAGGATTTGGGATGTGTAACTAATACGTATAATGCAATGATTCCAAACTCCCTGCAAAATCAAAATTTATGAAATAATTCTTGCCCCAGCATTTCAGATAAGTGATATTCAACCTGTATCTGCTTTATGCTTCTTTATGTAAGCTAATGTGCATTCTGAATTTCTAAAATTGAGATTAAGCAACATTTTTCAAGTGTAATTTTTATAAAGGATTTTTTAACAATCACTTATGGGTCATGAAACATACTTTATAAAATGCTGTCAAAATGCAATCTCTGCCATATCCTGGGTGATTTGTAAAGGTTAATTTTGCTTTTCCTTCCTGCTTAGCTCCATCAGTTAGAATTTGGTGACGGATTCGAGGCTGAGTTCAAACCTGCTACCAGACAGCTACCCTCAGTGCTATTCCTAGAATTTCTTAGCTCTTACAAGCTAAAGGCATCAAATTGGTCTATATTTCTATCAAAGAAAATCACTAGGTTCTAACTGAAAAGAGGAAAATGAAAATCTAGCAGATGCCTTGATATGCCAAGATATAATTTGATAGCATTATCTAAGAATTCACAGCATAGTAATCCATCTGAAAATCTGCGAGGTTTTTTTTTTTTGAAATGAGATGAAATACATTTTTAAAAGCACATTGATTCTATCATTTAAATGACTGAAGAAATATTATCAGTTGAGAAATAAAATACATCTTTAACAACGTGAGAATGAAGGCAGAAAAACAACAGTATTAAGATACTTAAAATGTGTGTGTGTTTTGGGGAGGTGGGGGAAGGGGGACAGCAGTATCCCAGAACAGAAAGGAAGGATGGAAATAAGAAAGAAAGGAAGCAAGGAAGAAAGGAATAGAAGGAAGGAAAAAGGTCAGATTTAATAAATTTCTATACAGCAAAGGGTCAATTTCAAAGGTGTTTGACAGCATTAAGATGGCACGTAAGTCTCCGTGCCCCACGTTCAGGTTAGATTTCTTTTCATTTCTCGTTACGTTTCATAGCTCTACATCAGAGTCACACTCTTTTTATAAATGAAATGGGAGTCGGACAGTGTAAAGATGACGTGTTCAGTTTTTAGTTTTTCATCATATCTTAGGCTATGCATATTTTTCAGGAAGCTGATAAATAATAAGGTGGCCTTATTTTTACTACAGTGACCAGCTGCCTTTGACTGACCCAAAATACAGACCACTGAGCTATGGCTAACAATGCCTTATGTCATACTGACTCAGCGATGAATCAATCAATTCCACAAACATTTACTGAAATGTAAATGGCCAAGGCACCCAGGACCTTAAAAATCATAATAAGAAGTTAATCTGTGGGAAAAGAGTAACTACAAAAGCATCTAAACAAGAGCAGGATGTGATGTAATGTGTCCCCTTATCACTTTAGTCAGTAAAGATAAGAAAGCCCTGGTGAGTATCCACTTCCACAAACACACAGAATATACACTTTTGGAAGATTTCCACTTAACCACTTGATTCTTCACTTTTTTATGATTTAAAACTCTCCGTAGTATTATATTATGAAGCACCATCACTAAAACGTATTTTTCAAATTAATAATCTTTTTTAACTCTAACAAAGTATTTTTTAACCTAATAATCAGCTTAAGTGAGGGTTGCAGTTTGACTTCAAAGTAACAGGTAAGTACAATTATTCTCATGGGATTCCACTGAGCTTAAGACAGGAAGACTCCGAAAGCAAGTACCTTGCTCAAACACTAGTCCCTAATAAACAATAGAGACTTTGGCCAGACACATGGCTCACACCTGTAATCCCAGCACTTTGGGAGGCTGAGGCAGCTGGATCATCTGAGGTCAGGAGTTCTAGACCAGGCTGGCCAACATGGTGAAACTCCGCCTCTACTAAAAATACAAAAAAATTAGCCCAGCATGGTGGTGGCGCCTGTAATCCCAGCTACTCCGGAGGCTGAGGCAGGAGAATTGCTTGAACCCAGGAGGTGGACGTTGCAGTGAATGGAGATCGTGCCACTGCACTCCAGACTGGGCAACAAAGTGAGACTCCGTCTCAAAATAAATAAATAAATAAATCAAATCAAAACAAAACAAAAAATAGAGATTTCAACTGATCATGTTTTTTTTTCTGACCTCCTGTATTTGATACTTTCCCTGACTGAACTGGCTTAAGGCAGTATTGTTTCTTGATTGTACATTCATCGTAGAGTTCTTTGCAAAGTCCCCCTTTGGAGCCCTCATCTTGTATTTAAGCAGTTATGAACAGTGAAAACTCTGCTGCTGCATGTTTATACTTCACTGGGGTTAAATACGCAAATAGGCCCTTGCTTGGAATCAAGATCTGGTCTTTGTATTATTGTCAACTTATGAGCATATGCTGGCTTTAGTCTCTTATGACTTTAAGTTGGATAAACTTAAAATGTTGGATAAACTTAAAATGAAAACAAAAGTCCAAACTTAAATGTGTAAATAATAACAGTTTAGAGTTGAATTATGGAATTACAGATGATTTAATTTTCAGTTTTCTGTTTCCACTCTCTGGTTATGTTATAAAATATTAAAAAAAATCTTCATATACTATTTCACCAAATACACTGAACCATGGCATTTGGAGGCTTTATGAATAAAGAAGGGGTTAAAATATATAACCATGGAGTAGAAAAGTAAGAGATAAAATTCCTTTAGAAAGGTGAGAGACGAGGGTTCATATTAAGTTCTTGGAAACTGATATTCACTTTTGTTGTGTGTGTAAGTCATCCATAGGAACTTACATAATTACCCCAATGTTGTATAAAATTATAACCTCTATAACCAAGCATATAATAAAATTATTAATAATTCATATTTATGTAACCTATACCTGAAGGTCAGTAAAATTGCTAAACAGCAAAGATGCTGCGTAGCAGCTCCATCAGTCTTTCTGTTATTTCACAAATAGTGAGTCAGTTGTTATCAGTGCAGCCTGGTGCATTTTCCACCTGAGACACACGTCATCTCATGTTCACTTCGTGAAATTCTATTCATCTTACCTTTCTCCACTTCATGCCCCTTCTCCAGGAAAACGTTCTAGAGCCTCTTTGGGTAACTTGGGTTTCTCATGACCCTGGGTTTCCTGATCATAAAACACCAGCCATCCCTGTAATCACACGCTGTGGTCATAAATGTGCACCTCCTGGCTGTGCTTCAAGAGAAACTGTGGTCAGAAATGCAGTTGACAGACAGCCTCCACCTGCCACCCTTGGGGTCCTCGACTGCATATCCACAGAGGCCTCGTGCTTGGGCCACCTCCACGTGGTGACTGCACCCTCCAAGCTGCTCCAGGAAGCAGCATATGCTGAGAAAACCGCGCTCATCTCACCGCACTTTCTCAGTTCCATGCTGCAAGAAGCAGCAGCAGCAAAGCTAAGAAGCCATGTTTGCTCATTTCCTGCCAAAGTAATTTCACAAAGCCCCTGACTATGTGACGATGTGCAGTTCTCTAGAAAGTTGTTTTGAAGACAAAACAGGATACAGCACGTGGTCTCCTACATGTGTTGCCTGAGTCATTATATTTCTTCCTGAAAGATAAATGTTCCTAGTCCTTGCCTTTTCCTACACAAAAGATCATGTCTGATGGGCTTAGCAATTATGCTTCTGCAATCTATAACCAAATGTATTTTAGTAACCTATAACTGAATATCCTCTGACACCCAAACTTTAACATGATTTTGCATGCATGGAAACCTCTGCTACCTGTAGATACAGTGTGAGCTAAAACACTGTGCTGGAGCGGTATGGCAGAGCCTCCCTGAAAGCCTTCTCCCACGGTTTAGTCCTCATGTGACAGTCCTCAGCAAGACTTCTGAATAAAACAACCTTAACTCTTTACAAGCAAGATTTCATTTTTTGTTAGTCGACAACACTGTGGTTTGAGACTCTTCGGTTCCCATCTTTCCTTCCTCCTATTCTTCAGAGTGCTGCACCTGCACTGTAGCCTGAAGACTTCCTAATGATTCTGCCTGTTCCTCTTCTGTCCTTCACAAGAGATGTTCACCAGCAAATCTCTTGGACATCAAATCCCACAGTGGTGTCTCTTCCTCCTAGGACTCAAACAGGTTCACTTATCAAAGATCCGTTTTCTCTATTACATTTTCTATGGACAAAGATTAAGTCTTCCACTGTTCTAAATATTTCCCAAGTCTTACACAGTGCTTTGTGTGTAGTATATATTCAACCCATACCAATCCACAGGAATTACAAATGATAACAATAAAATGATATTATTAAATGAAAACATCGACCAGGTGCAGTGGCTCACATCTGTAATTCCAGTAATTTGAGAGGCCAAGGCAGGTGGATCATGAGGTCAGGAGATCAAGACCATCCTGGCCAACCTGGTGAAACCCCATCTCTGCTAAAATACAAAAAAACAAACAGTCAGGCGTGGTAGTGTGTGCCTGTAATCCCAGCTACCTGGGAGGCTGAGGCAGGGGAATCGTTTGAACTCAGGAGCTGGAGGTTGCAGTGAATCGAGATCATGCCACTGCACTCCAGCCCGGTGACAGAATGAGACTCCATCTCAAAAACAAAACAAAACAAAAAAAATTCTGGCCAGGCACAGTGGCTCATGCCTGTAATCTCAGCACTTTGGTAGGCTGATGCAGGTGAAGCACTTGAGTCCGGGAGTTCAGGACCACCCTGGGCAACATGGTGAAACCCTGTCTCTACCAAAACAGAAAAATTAGCCAGCCATGGTGGCATGCACCAGTAGCCCCAGCTACTCAGGAGGCTGAAGTGGGAGGATCCCTTGAGCCCAGGAGATTGAGGCCGCAGTGAGCCATGAATGAGCTACTGCAATCCAGCCTGGATGACACAGTGAGACTCTGTTAAAAGAAGAAAAAAAGAGAGACAGAGAGAAAAGAAAGTAAAAGAAAAAGAGAACATCACTGAAAGCTTATTATTTTGCAGACACTTTACCTGTGATCTCTCATTTGACTTGATGAGGCAGAGGTTATGAACATACCTGTTGACTGCTGAGGGGATGGAGTCCCAGAGAAACACAGTGACTTGTTCAAAGCCACACAGCGCATATGTCATGAAGCCAGAATCTCAACCAAAGCAGTTCATCCACAAAGGCCAGGCGTTTAGACACTGCCAGCCCCTCACAACGCCCATCCGGTAAACGAAGAGAGTTAAGGAAGCTTTAAAATCACAGAAAATAAATAAATAGAAAAGGAAGGCCGTACATATTCAATGCAGCCAGCAAAGAGACGTCAATTACATGAAGAAGATGGAAATATGTTCCCTGATAGAGGAGGGAAGAGTGTAGGAAAAGCTGCAGGTATCGTTAATTAAGAGCAGAAAACATACAAGGAAGCATGAGCAGTAGGAAGAAACTAGAAACAGACACTTGAGCCAAGTCCTGGAAGAAACGACACACCGGTGTTCCACACGGGAAATACACAGGCATCATTACGCGAGCAGAGAGAGGACAACCTGCTGGAGTGGAGGACTCAGCAAGGTCAGTGGGAGGCCCCCAAGAAATGGGAAATGGAAGAAGTGGCACACCAGAGCCCAAAAGACTGAGGCATGAACCTAGCCCTCAAATTAGTAAATTATTTTAATTCTTTAATCAGAAGAAGTTGAAGTTATAATTCAACTCAAACTGTAGAGATTGAATTCATTAGAAATCTTATCAGTCGTAAAACAAACCTGGAGTCAGTAAGAAAAGATAACTTTAGTTATTAAATAAGTATACATGAAATGGAACAAAAATGAGCATATCCTGACTACTGAAATAATATCTTTAAAAATTTAAATTTCAGAAATTTAGGACACATCAGAAATGTCAGATTCTATGGAGATCCAACTCAAGAGCAAGTCACGCCACTGGTGTTCAGGCCCAGAACACCATCAGCCAGAAATCCTACACTGACCTTCAGACAGATGCATGCTGGTGGCTGTTAGCAGAGTCAAGAATATATATCCTAAAAGGTATATCATATAAATAAATACAGCAGATCATTTATTATGTTAGAATATCAGGAAGAATTCAAATGCCTCCAAAATACCCACAAAAACCTTAGTAAGTAACCTCCTTTCCTTCATAATAAAAATAAATGTATATATAAAAAAATTAACTCTACTTTCTTAAACAGAAGTTGTCACAGGTAAGCAAAATCTATCCTGTAGGTATGGTAGCACTCACATGCACCATGAAAATTCCGGTGTTTTAAACAGTGTTTTATTTGTATTAACCAACTCCAAATTTGGGAGATTTCTCATATGAATCTGGGTTTCTGGAATCTCCTAAAAAATAAAAACAATGGGCCGGGCACAGTGACTCATGCCTGTAATCTCAGCACTTTCGGAGGCCGAGGCAGGCGGATCACGAGGTCAGGAGATTGAGACCATCCTGGCTAACACGGTGAAACCCCGTCTCTACTAAAAATACAAAAAATTAGCCGGACATGGTGGCGGGCACCTGTAGTCCCAGCTACTTGGGAGGCTGAAGCAGGAGAATGGCGTGAACCCAGGAGATAGAGCTTTCAGTGAGCTCAGATCGTGCCGCTGCACTCCAGCCTGGGTAACAGAGCGACACTCTGTCTCTACAAAATAATAATAACAATAATAAAATAAAATTAAAACAATGATCATCTCACATTCAACAATGCCAAGGCACAGGCTCTCCCGTTCAGTATTCCTGTGCCGGCTATACCTGCCCTGCCCCACGCACTGATACTCCTCACCACACATCCTCACTCCAACTGTAGTGCTTTCCTTATAAATGAGTTGAAGACAATGACACATCTCTTTAAAACAATTAAAACCTTCCTTCCTTAAAACATAAAACCTAAAAGTGATGTAAAACTTTACACATTACAAAATTTAAAGGAAATTCCTCCTTCTTTAATATGCAAATTGCAACTGTAGAAAATGTGACCTGTTGACATGTTAACATGACTAGACCATCGGTGCAAGCCCTGTCCTAAATGTTTCTGTCCCCAATGTGTGGCCCTGTCCTCAATGTTCCTAAGTATAAGAATATCTAGGATATCTGCTGAGAAGACTTGGAGTTGCGAAGTAACAAAAGAAGTGTCACTTTATTTAAAATGTTTCTTCTGTAGCACAGTTCCACAGAATAAATTCCAGCAGAAGACTAAATATATTGTTTTAGCTGTTGAACATCTGCAGATTCCCAGGAAAATGAGGAGTTACGCCCATGGAGTTGCAACTCATGGAAGCCCAGTTAGCGAACATTCCTAGCATATCTTAAGTATGTCATAAGCATATTTAAATAAATTGATGAGATAATGGTCTTCCAATATTTATATTCTATAAAATGAACACGTATAAAAGGTTCAGAAGATAATGGTCAAGTCATTGTTGAGCTTTCAAATATTTTTCTTCACTTCCTTCCCCTGGACATGCACAAGGAAAACAAGCACAATATCCTTACAGATAACAGTTTTATAATTTTTAAATCTGCTCAAATTTTAATTAGCATACAAGCAGATAACATTTTATATATTTTATTTTGTCTGTCTAGGCTGCTATAAGAAAAATAACATAGATTGGTTGAATTAAACCACAAATATGTGTTGCTCACTGTTCTGGACAGTGGAAATTCAAGATCAAGGTGCCAGGGGATCTAGTGTCTGGTGAGGGGCCTGATCCTGGTTCAGGGACACACATTCATTCCATGACATACTTTATCTATTATAATTGTGACTCGATGTTCGAAACAGAAGCATTCCAAATTTTATAAGCATAAATACTGATAATCAATACAGAGAAAAGTAAGCAAATCCAGGTAACAGTTAAGTTTTGTCACATAAACTAATCTGACACTTCACTGAGGAAGCAGATAATTCTAAAGTCTATAGTACCTGAGTAAGCTAACAATGAATGCATACCCTGATAATAGTGAGGGCATTTTGATGGATCTGAACATGGAGCATAATGACTGTCATCAAAAAAGAAATCACTAGAACAAGCACCTAGAATTTAAAATATTTAGCTTTTTCACTCACTGTGGGATGCGTCCAGCATTTACTTTGCTGCTTACTATTTTTTCTGTGTCTTGTTTGTTTACGTAGCTTAATTCACCCATTTCTCTATGATATAGTTAATAGCGGCTTTTCTAGTGTTATGAATTTTTGTGCTCAAAAGAATGTGGGTGCCTTGGCATGGGGAACCCTTGGAGTTACTGTAATGATAGATGTCTGTCATCTTCAACAAAATGGATTTCAAGGCCTAGATTTAAGATAAACACTGAAGAAAAACTTTCCCTGAGTGCTTTCTACCCAAGAATCTTCTCACTTTTATTAGAAGTACAGCTTCTTATCACTCAGCCTCAGACTGATTTGACTTTCCAATGATGAAAAACAATAACAATAGCTTTTCTTATTTATGTTCTATGTAATAACTTCAAGGGAAATTGGATTAAGAATGCCTCATTCACAATAGTGTGCAGAATATTGAGTGAACAAGTGTAACTGTAAATTTCTAAATCAGTCTTAGGCAGTGATGGCTAACCAGTCTGCCTAAAAATGGCTTGTAACAAGCCATGTGCAGCTGTGGTATGCCCACACTTAACCTCTTCATTTTACATTGCAGTGGAATAATTCAATAGCAATTTTTTCAAGTAAAATATAGATTTTAGCCCAGGCATAGTGGCTCACACCTGTAATCCCAGCACTTAAGGAGGTCAAGGTGGGCGATCACAAGGTCAGGTGTTTGAGACAAGCCTGGCCAACATGGTGAAACCCTGTCTCTACAAAAAATACAAAAATTAGCTGGGTGTGCTTACAGGCACCTGTAGTCCCAGCTACTCAGGAGGCTGAAGCAGGAGAACCGTTTGAACCAAGGAGGCAGAGGTTGCAGTGAGCTGGGATTGTGCCATTGCACTCCAGCCTGGGTGACAGCGCAACACTCCACCTTAAAAAAAATATATACATATATATATATATATATATATATATATATATATATATATATATATATGTATACATATATATATTATATACACACAGACACGCACACACACACAAATTTAGTCATTCCAGATTTTCTTCTTCTGTTGAAAGAAATATTAAATTTTCCTCATAGAAATAATGTTTTTGTTTCAATGAGTGAAAAATTATTTCCATTTACTATTTCCTATTATTCTCAGTATAATCTATATTTGGGTCTATTGAACTATTGTTTATTAATTCTATTTTACATATAACTTTAGCGAAACCTCTTATAAGGTATTTTGCCTATGAGATATATTAACTCTGTTCTTCCTCAATGCAGTTATCCAGAATTGTACTTTCCAGGAATATACATCACATGATGTGAAGATAAGAATGCATCTTGCTATCAGCACTGAATGATGAGATTGATCCATCTACAATAGACCATGCTAGTCAAAATGTATACATTCAACAATGTAGCTATGAAAATTTCACTAAAACACTGGTACCTGGCACCATCTAGTAAGTTATTGACAAAATACATTTAGAAAGGAAAGCCATTGGCTCATTATTAAATGTATGACAAGAGTCCATGAAAATGGTTTATAAGAAATTTAGTTGGCCGGGCGTGGTGGCTCATGCCTGTAATCCCATCACTTTGGGAGGCCGAGGTGGGTTGATCACGAGGTCAAGAGAACGAGACCATCCTGGCTAACAAGGTGAAACCCCGTCTCTACTAAAAATACAAAAAATTAGCCGGGCGTGGTGGCGGGCGCCTGCAGTCCCACCTACTCGGGAGGCTGAGGCAGGAGAGTGGCGTGAACCCAGGAGGTGGAGCTTGCAGTGAGCTGAGATCGCACCACTGCACTCCAGCCTGGGTGACAGAGGGAGACTCTGACTCAAAAAAAAAAAAAAAAAAAAAAAAAAGAAAGCTAGTTTTGGTATAATTTTGGAATACATATATACAAACAGTTTCAAATATTTGAGGTGGAATGTGCACTTTATATAACAAAATTTATTTTAATGAATAAAATCGTATGTTTGTTTGCAAATTGTTTCAGCAAAGTTATCTGGGCCTTACTGTATGAAGATATAGCTCCATCTTTTCTTTAAAAAATATTGACTTGGCTGAATGTTTTCCAGCAATGAGAAAAAGTCAATTCAGGAATGAACTAAAACTTTAAAATAACTCTAGCAATCGAGACTTTAGCAGTCTCTGGAGAAAACATCACTTTCTCCAATGAAATCCTGTATGTATTTTTCAAGGTATTAACTGGCGTCCTACGGAGAAGTATTTGAAAAGGGGGCTTCCATAAATAGCTTAAATTTATTAATCTGTATTTTAAAATGTATGGCTTTGAAAATAAATCACAGCATCACAGCCCTACTCAGAGTATTCCATGAATGTTTACAACATTACTTTTATGGTAGCATTTATTTGGTTTATGTCACAGAGCATGAACAGTGGGGATTGAATATAAGTGAGTGAATGAATGGTTTCATTCACTACAATTGTAACGATTGTGTTATTTCTCAGAGCTTGTAAAACCCAATAATGTTTATTAAAAGTAAGCAAAACAAACAAGAACAAGTGAAACATGCACTTGGAAGAGACCTCTGTTGCACCAGGAATTAGACACAATGGTGCAGCTGTGGAGAAAACAACAACAAATGGCATTTTTTTCCTACCTCGTCTCTTTTCTTGGAAGGAGGAAGAAAAGAGCAATTCCAATGTACTACTTCTTCCCACTCCAACTTAGAAATCGCAGGTAGACTGTGAAAACAGACCTTTATTTCTTCATTAAGTGTCTGAATTAGTCACAAAATTGAGCTTGAAAACCCCACAGAAAGAGTGCTCTGTGCAATTATTATGAGATGATGCTCCTCCTTTCTCCCAATAAAGGACGAAGGTTCTTCTGCCCAGATGCTGATTTTCACAATACATTATAGCTGGGCCAATTCCAATGTTACTTACTGATATATGCTATCTACATTGCACTTATATTAAACTATTGCTGGTCATAAAATTATCGTATACCAGAAAGGAAAAAAAAAGTGAGGCAGCATGAGCTAATGAATATTTCTTATTAATTCAGACTCTACATAAGCATGCTGAGTAAGAATATTTAGTCTTTTCATTTTTTAATGAGTTCACTTAATCAATGACCTGAAATTGCACTTTCTGTCCACGTAACAGAGATTCTTACAGCACAAGGACTGTTATTTAACTTTGAGTATCAGTGATTTTCACAGGGCTGGATCAGAGCCCATTCTAAAATGTGCTTATTGCATGTGGACTGATACTGTAAAATGTGAATGCTTGGTTAATGCAAGAATAAAAATAAAATACTCATATTCAAAAGCACATTCACATCTAAGATGCTTTGTGTGTCTTTTTAAAAAAATATATAAGTTATGGGATACATGTGCAGAAAGTGCCAGTTTGACACATGGGTATACATGTTTACTGCACCCAACAACACATCATTTACATTAGGGATTTCCCCTAATGCTATGCTATCCCTCCCCTTACCCCACCACCCGAAAGGCCCGTCTATGATGTGTCCCTGTGTCCCTGTGTTCTCATTGTTCCATTCCCACTTATGACTGAGAACATGCGTTGTTTCGTTTTCTGTTTCTGTGTCTTTACTGAGAATGGTTTCCAGCTTCACCCATGTCCTTGCAAATGACATGAACTCATTCTTTTTTTATGGCTGCATAGTATTCCATGGTGTATATATGCCACATTTTCTTTATCCAGTCTATCATTGATGGGCATTTGGGTTGATTCCAAGGTTTTTCTATACTAAATGGTGCTGCAATACACATACGTGTGCATGCATCTTCATAATAGAAAGATGTATAATCCTATGGGTATATACCCAGTAAAGGGATTGCTGGGTCAAATGGTATTTCTGGTTCTAGATCCTTTAGGAATTGCCACACTGTCTTCCACAATGGTTGAACTAATTTACACTCCCACCAACAGTGTAAAAGCGCTCCTAATTCTCCATAACCTCTCCAGCATCTGTTATTTCCTGACTTTTTAATGATGGTCATTCTAACTGGCATGAGATGGTATCTCATAGTGGTTTTGATTTGCATTTCTCTAATGACTAGTGATGATGATCCTTTTTTTCATATGTTTTTGGCAGCATAAATGTCTTCTTTTGAGAAGTGTCTGTTCATATCCTTCACCCGCTTTTTGATGGGTTTTTTCTTGTAAATTTGTTTAAGTTCCTTATAAATTCTGGATATTAGATTAACTCTTTGTCAGATGGATAGATTGACAAAATTTTCTCCCATTCTGTAGGTTGCCTGTTCACTGTTCACTGTTCACTGTGATGATAGTTTTGTTTGTTTGTTTGTTTGCTGTGCAGAAGCTCTTTATTTCAATTAGATTCCATCTGTCAATTCTGGCTTTTGTTGCCATTTCTTTTGGTGTTTTAGTCATGAAGTCTTTGCCCATGCCTATGTCCTGAATGGTATTGCCTAGGTTTTCTTCTAGGGTTTTTATGGTTTTAGGTCTAACATTTAAGTCTTTAATCCATCTTGAGTTAATTTTTGTATAAGGTGTAACGAAGTGATCCAGTTACAGTTTTCTGCATATGGCTAGTCAGCTTTCCCAACACCATGTATTAAATAGGAAATCCTTTCCCCATTGCTTGTTTTTGTCAGGTTTGTCAAACATCAGATGGTTGTAGATGTGTGGTGTTATTTCTGAGGCCTCTGTTCTGTTCCATTGGTCTCTATATCTGTTTTGGTACCAGTACCATGCTGTTTCAGTTACTCTTGTCTTGTAATATAGTTTGAAGTCAGGTAGTATGACGCCTCCAGCTTTGTTCTTTTTGCTTAGGATTGTCTTAGCTATACGGGCTCTTTTTTGGTTCCACATGACCTTTAGTTTTTTTCTAATTCTGTGAACAAAGTCAATGGTAGCTTGATGGGAATAGCATTGAATCTATATATTACTTTGGGCAGTATGGCCATTTTCACAATATTGATTCTTTCTATCCATGAGCATGGAATTTTTCTTTCCATTTGTTTGTGTCCTCTTTTATTTCCTTGAGCACTGATTTGTAGTTCTCCTTGAAGAAGTCCTTCACATCACTTGTAAGTTGTATTCCTAGATATTTTATTCTCTTTGTAGCAATTGTGAGTGGGTGTTCACTTATGATTTGGCTCTCTGTCTATTGTTGGTGTATAGGAATGCTTGTGATTTTTGCACATTGATTTTGTATCCTGAGACTTTGCTGAAGTTCCTTATCAGCTTAAGGACTTTTTGGACTGAGACAATGGGGTTTTCTAAATATACAATCACGTCGTCTGCAAACAGAGACAACTTGACTTCCTCTCTTCCTAATTGAATACTCTTTCTTTCTTTCTCTTGCCTGATTGCCCTGGCCAGAATTTCCAACACTACGTTGAATAGCAGTGGTGAGAGAGGGCATCCTTGTCTTTTGCTGGTTTTAAAACGCAATGCTTCCAGCTTTTGACCATTCTGTATGACATTGGCTGTGGGTTTGTCATACACAGCTCTTATTATTTTGACATATGTTCCGTCAATACCTAGTTTATTATTTTTAGCATGAAGGGATGTTGAATTTTATCGAAGGCCCTGTCTGCATCTATCGGGATAATCATGTGGCTTTTGTCACTGGTTCTGTTTATGTGATGGATTACGCCTATTGATTTGTGTATTTTGAGCTAGCCTTGCATCCCAGGGATGAAGCTGACTGGATCATGTTGGATAAGCTTATGATGTGCTGCTGGATTTGATTTGCCAGTATTTTATTGAGGATTTTCACATCGATGTTCATCGGGCATATTAGGCCTATAGGCCTGAAATTTTCTTTTTTTATTGTGTCTCTGCCAGGTTTTGGTATTTGGATGATGCTGGCCTCATAAAATGAGTTAAGGAGGATTCCCTCTTTTTCTACTGTTTGGAATAGTTTCAGAAGGAATGGTACAAGCTCCTCTTTGCACCTCTTGTAGAATTCGGCTGTGAATCTGTCTGTCCTGGGCTTTTATTGTTTGGTAGGCTATTAATCACTGTGTCAATTTTGGAACTTGTTATTGGTCTATTTCGGGATTCGGCTTCTTCCTGGTTTAGTCTTGGGAGAGTATGTGTACCCAGGAATTTGTCCATTTCTTCTAGATTTTCTAGTTTATTTGTATAGAGGTATTTATAGTATTCTGTGGTGGTACTTTGTATTTCTGTGGGATTGGTGGTGATATCCCTTTATCTTTTTTTTATCATGTCTATTTGATTCTTCTCTCTTCTTCTTCTTTATTAGTCTGGCTAGCAGTCTATCAATTTGTTAATCATTTCAGAATATCAGCTCCTGGATTCACTGAGGTTTTGAAGGGATTTTCATGTCTCTATCTCCTTCAGTTCTGCTCTGATCTTAGTTATTTCTTGTCTTCTGCTAGGTTTGAATTTGTTTGCTCTTGCTTCTCTAGTTCTTTCAGTTGTGATGTTAGGGCATCGATTTTGGATCTTTCCTGCTTTCTCATGTGAGAATTTAGCACTATGATTTTCCCTCAGAACACTGCTTTAGCCGTGTCCCAGAGATTCTGGTACATTGTGTCTTTGTTCTCACTGGTTTCAAAGAACTTATTTATTTCTGCCTTAATTTCGTTATTTACCCAGTGGTCATTTAGGAGCAGGTTATCAGTTTCCATGTAGTTGATGCAGTTTTGAGTGAGTTTCTTAATCCTGAGTTCTAATTTGATTGCACTGTGGTCTGAGAGACTGTTTGTTATGATTTATGTTCCTTTACATTTGCTGAGGAGTGTTTTATTTCCAATTATGTGGTCCATTTTAGAATAAGTGCTATGTGGTGCTGAGAAGAATGTGAACTCTGTTAATTTCGGGTGGACAGTTCTATAGATGTACTAGGTCCACTGAGTTCAAGTCCTGAATATCTTTGTTAATTTTCTGTCTCTTTGATCTGTCTAGTATTGACAGTGGGTGTTAAACTCTCCCACTATTATTGTGTGGGAGTCTAAGTCTCTTTGTACGTCTCTAAGAACTTGCTTTCCGAATCTGGGGGCTTCTATATTGGGTGCATATATATTTAGGATTGTTAACTCTTCTTGCATTGATCCCTTTACCATTATGTAATGCCCTTGTCTTTTTGGATCTTTGTTGGTTTAAAGTCTGTTTTATCAGAGACTAGGATTGCAACCCATGCTTATTTTTTGCTTTCCATTTACTTGGTAAATATTCCCCCATCCCTTTATTTGGAGCCTATGTGTGTCTTCGCACATGAGTCTCCTGAATACAGCACACCGATGGGTCTTGACTCTTTATTCAATTTTCCAGTCTGTGTCTTTTAATTGGGGCATTTAGCCCATTTAAATTTAAGGTTAATATTGTTATGTGTGAATTCGAACCTGTCATCATGGTGCTATCTGGTTATTTTGCACAATAGTTGATGCAGTTTCTTCATAGTGTTGTTGGTCTTTACATTTTGGTATGTTTGAGCAGTGGCTGGTACCAGTTTTTCCTTTCCATATTTAGTGCTTCCTTCAGGAGCTCTTATAAGGCAGGCCTAGTGGTGACAAAATCCCCCAGAATTTGCTTTTCTATGGAGGATTTTATTTCTCCTTCGCTTATGAAGCTTAGTTTGGCTGGACATGAAATTCTGGGTTGAAAATACTTTTCTTCAAGAATGTTGAATATTGGCCCCCACTCTCTTCTGGCTAGTAGGGTTTCTGCAGAGAGATCCACTGTTAGTCTGACGGGCTTGCCTTTGTGGGTAACCCAACCTTTCTCTCTAGCTGCCCTTAGCATTTTTTCCTGTGTTTCAACCTTGGTGAATGCGATGATTATGTGTCTTGGGGTTGCTCTTCTCAAGGAGTATCTGAGCGGTGTTCTCTGTATTTCCTGAATTTGAATGTTGGCCTGTCTTGCTAGAGTGAGGAAGATCTCCTGGATAATATCCTGAAGAGTGTTTTCCAACTTGGTTCCATTCTCCCCGTCACTTTCAGGTCCATCAATCAATCATAGATTTGGTATTTTCACACAGTCCCATATTTCTTGGAAGCTCTATTCTTTCCTTTCATTCTTTTTTCTCTAATCTTGTCTTCATGCTTTATTTCATTAAGTTGATCTTCAATCGCTGATATCCTTTCTTCCGCTTGATCAATTCGGCTACTGATACTTGTGTATGCGTCATGAAGTCCTTGTGCCGTGTTTTTCAGCTCCATCAGGTCATTTATGTTCTTCTCTAAACTAGTTATTCAAGTGAGCAGTTCCTGTAATCTTTTATCAAGGTTCTTATCTTCCTTGTATTGGGTTAGAAAACGCTCCTTTAGCTCAGAGGAGTTTGTTATTACCCACCTTCTGAAGCCTACTTCTGTCAATTCATCAAACGCATTCCCTGTCCCGTTGTGTTCCCTTGCTGGCAAGGAGTTGTGATCCTTTGGAGGAGAAGAGGCATTCTGGTTTTTGGAATTTTCAGCATTTTTGTGCTGGTTTTTCCTCATCTTTGTGGATTTATCTACCTTTGATCTTTTATGCTGATGACCTTTGGATGGGATTTTCGCATGGGCATCCTTTTTGTTAATGTTGACGCTATTCCTCTCTGCTTGTTAGTTTTCCTTCTAACAGTCAGGCCCCTCTTCTGCAGGTCTGCTGGAGTTTGCTGGAGGTCCACTCCAGACCCTCTTTCCTGGGGTGTCACCAGTGGAGGCTGCAGAACAGCAAAGATTGCTGCCTGTGTCTTCCTCTGGAAGCTTTGTCCCAGAAGGGCACCTGAGAGATGCCATCCGGAGCTCTCCTGTATGAGATGTCTGTTGATCCCTGCTGGGAGGTGTCTCCCAGTCAGGAGGTATGGGGGTCAGGGTCCCACTTGAGGGGGCGGTCTTTCCCTTAGCAGAGCTTGAGTGCTGTGGTAGGAGATCTGCTGCTGTCTTCAGAGCCAGCAGGCAGAAAGAGTTAGGTCTGCTGAAGCTGCACCCACAGCCACTCCTTCCCCCAGGTGCTCTGTCCCAGGGAGACAGGAATTTTATCTATGAGCCGCTGACTGGGGCTGCTGCCTTTCTTTCAGGGATGACCTGCCTAGGGAGGAGGAATCTAGAGAAGCAGTCTGGCTACAGTGGCTTTGCCGTGCAGTGGTGCGTTCTGCCCAGTTCAAACTTCCTGGCAGCTATGTTTACACTGTGAGGGGGAAACCACCTACTCAAGCCTCAGTAATGGCAGACATCCCTCTCTCCACCAAGCTCAAGTCTCCCAGCTCGACTTCAGACTGCTGTGCTGGCAGCCAGAATTCCCAGCCAGTGAATCTTAGCTTGCTGGACTCCATGGGGGTGGGACCCACTGAGCAAGACCACTTGGCTCCCTGGCTTCAGCCCCCTTTCCAGGGGAGTGAACAGTTCTGTCTCGTTGGGGTTCCAGGAGACGCTGGGGTCCAAAAAAAACCTCTTGCAGCTAGCTCGGTATCTGTCTGAACAGCTGCCGAGTTTTTTCCTTGAAACCCAGGGCCCTGGTGGTGTAGGCATCTGAGGGAATTTCCTGGTTTGTTGGATGCAGAAACTGTGGGAAAAGCATGCTATCTGGGCTGGATAGCACCATCCCTCAACGGCGTAGTCCTTCACGGCTTCCCTTGGCTAGGAGAGGGGGTTACCCAGCCCCTTGCACTTCCCCGGTGAGGCAATGCCCCACCCTTCTTCTGCTTACCCTCCGTGGGCTGCACCTACTTTCTAACCAGTCCCAGTGAAATGATCCATGTACCTCAGAGGGAAATGCAGAAATCACCCGCCTTCTGTGATGGTCTCACTGGGAGCTGCAGACGGGAGCTGTTCCTATTCGGTCATCTTGCTGAGTTCCAACTGCTTTGTGTGTCTCAATTTATGTGTCCATGAATACATTAATGGGAGACACTTAAAGAATTCTGAATCTTTGAATTAGCTATACGCTCTCTTCCAGATATGTGGGGAAAACTGTCTTCTTTTCAAAACTAACCATAGACACACACCTTTATCATGAGGTGTACTGATGAAGCACAATGAAAGCAACACTCATAGTTTCTGCATTTGCCATCCAATATCAAAACAAAACTAAAACAACAAAAATCTTTCATGATTCAAGTGCTTCTTCGTCCAAAATTTAATTTAAATAGACTTTCTTTGTGAAAGAATAACATACACACATATAATTTTGTTTTAATATCTTTTAGATCAAGAACTATTCCTAATGACCTCTATGAAATTCAGGTGAAATTCGGTTTTAATATTGTGCTTCCTCAGTAAATAAAAGGAGAAAGGGCCCCTGGAAAACCAGGTTTTTTAAAAGTATACTTGTAATTTACTATAAAATAGAATCCAGCCAAAATGCACTAACATGTAAGGTGCATAGTTCATTCTTTCATTCAATAAATATTTTTGCAGTCTCTATAGCACTGTGGCCAAGAACTGTATCTTATCACTTGACCTCTTCCAAGGTTACTATAATTCTCCTAAAAATACAGTTACTGTCTCCTTTTACAATTAAAAGGTGGAGATCATTCTCATTATTTTCATATATGATTGGTGTCCCTGTCCTTTTTATGTAATAATGTGATTCTGCAAAGTGGCAATAACAGGTCACATTTTTATTAAAGTTGCGGGATGAAAAGGAAGCTGGATTTTAGAAATTTAAGTCCTGGGTTGTAGAACCATTTCCACTACATATTGTCTGTGTAACATCCGGCAGGTCATTAATTTCTCTGAACGTTATCTGAAGAAAAGGAATAATGCAGGTATCCTCCAGAGGCATCACCAGAGTGCAGAAGGGAGAGCACCTCTTGGCCATCAAACTCACTTTGAGACAGAAAGTTGTGTCCACTGTGAATTCATTATGATATGGTAGACATGTGGCTCAGTGCATTTGAACTCCAGTTCCCCTTGCCTATACAAAGGAATAAAATTGTCTAAATACAGGCAACATTTTGAAGATTTAAAATATGTTAATAAATTTACATGACCAAGAGAAGTATTCTTGATTTTCTTCTCTCATACTCCACAAGTGCTTATCAACAATTGCTGGTCTCATCTCCGGCAATAACAAGCTAGTCTGAGGTCGCAATGTCCTTAGACTAGATCATCTCAGTCGCCTTCTAAAGACTTGCAAACTTGCTGTCATTCATTCCCCGTGTTACAGCTGTTGTGATCGTTCCAGTGTAAATCAAACAATCCCACAGCACATCACCAAATCAAACTCGTAAATCCACCTCCACCACCACAGCCTCAGTCCAAGCTGCCGTGATCTCTTGGGTGGAAAAATACAATTATTTACTGCATTATCTTTCAACATCCACTCTTCTCTCACCAGTGCTCCACATGCCAGCATAATTGACCATTCAACCTCCTCTTTATTGCTAGCCTATCCCTCTTAGAATAATTGCAGAAAGTATGCAGGACTGTCGAGTTATGTGCACTAAGCTGTATCAGCTCTGTAGGCTACACTACTCCAGTCCCCACCTCGTCTTCTGAATTCCAGGCACCCTTCTAGTTCCTCTACAAAAGCACAAGGCTTCCTCTTGCCACAGGGCATTGCCTGGGTTCTCCTCTCATTCTTTTCTTTTCTCCTGGCTTCTCTCCTGCTCACTCTTCAGGGGAGAGTCAGAGGCATTTGGCCAAGACCTTCCCCTGTCCCATTCCCCAGACTAGATTACCTCTTCTTGCAAAATCCTCTTACAGTTTTTCCTTAATAGTCCTTCGTTTGGCTGGAAGGTATATATTTTTTCACATACAGTTTCTAATAAGTAACTCTCTCCTACTATACCAAGATAGCAAGGACTGTCTCTCACCTTTTTTGTTGGCAGGGGGTGGGGTGTGGCGTTGGGTTATTGTCCATCCAGTATCTAGCTTACTCTGTATATATATAGCATTTATTAAATAAATATTTTTGGATACATGAAAACAATGTAAAATAATAGCCTTCAGTCATAAGTAGCTAGAAGTCTGATAATCTCTTTCTAAAACTTAACTAAATTTTCAGAAATATATGTTAATATCAATATGTATGCTAATTCAAGTGATATTAAGATATTTACCAAAAATAATTTAAATATTAATACTTAAAACAAACTATTTTAATTTCATGTACATTTCCACAAATGCTTTAGTCACATACTTCAGTTATGATTAAATAATTTTTCCAGGAATTAATAGAATGATTATTTAGATTTACTTATGTAGAAATCCTCCAAGCTCTCAGCTAAGTTTTCTAATTCGATGAACACAGTGTGATTCTATCTCCATGGTGACAGATATTAGATCTTGAATTTTTATTTCTTTAATATTGCTTTGATTACGAACAGGCCAAAAATGATTATATGATAATTTGTATATACACACACATATATAACGTGTATAATTTATGCTAATCTTCTGCAATGTTTCCTTGGGTTTTTTTTGCACTGATTTTTAATACATTTATTGAAGCGAGATTTTCTTTTGAATGTATCAAAATCAAATATAGAATGTAAGAAAGGAAAAAAATTCACTTAGCAGTCTGTGAAGCTCCTCAGATGGGCTGACTTCATAGCTGCTCTCTTGGGAGACTAAAATTATTTCAATAATGATGCCCCAAAATATTTAGGAGAGCTTATTTCAGAATTACCTTCTAAACCTGTGGCACATTTCTTTCCATCCTCTCAAGTCGGGGAAATGTTCTTGGACACTCTGCTCTCAGGAACCCAACAGGCTCCCAGCTCCAAGCGTGCTCCCCTCCTTCCTCTTCCCTATGCCACCACAGCACCCACCTTGCCATCCACAGCCCATCCACAGGCTCCAGTGTGGCCCACGGCATCCTTCCTCCGGGTGTGAAATTGCTTTTCCCTCAGGCAGGATCCAGTATCTCTTCTTCACCAGGTAAGTCTTACTCTTCACACCTCAACACTTCAGTTTCTCTATGAAAGCTTCCCCTGAATGCTAAGAGAGGACAAATTGCTCCTTCAAAGTGCCCTTGCACCCTAACACAGTGTTTTCATGGGTATGCTGTTTGATTACTTTATCTGCCTGTCCTTAACTGAAAGCTCATTGAGAATAAAAAAGATACCTGATTTAGAGCTACATTCCTTGGCCTTGCATTTTCCCTGGCACATAGCAGACCTCAAGTGAATATATATTTAATAACTAAATATATAGTAAATGTATCAAGTCCTAGGAAACAAGCCTTAGTGCAATTATGATATTGGATGGCCAGAGAAAAATGACATGGGTCTGGTTTCTATGTAAATTTTGGACTTTCGGGGATCACATATTTGGTGGACCCAGGGCTCGGCTTTAGGACTGTGTACTCATTAATGTGTGTAAAAAGTTGACTGTGCAAGTGCACCCGAGTTAGCTCAGAGCTGCTTCTAGCAATTTTAATCTATACTCAAAGTCCCCCACATCTTACCACAGGCTGATAAAAGAGCATTTTTTGTTCTTTTTTGAGAGGAAGTCTCGCTCTGTTGCCCACGCTGGAGTGCAGTGGCGTGATCTCGGCTCACTGCAAGCTCTGCCTCCCGGGTTCACGCCATTCTCCTGCCTCAGCCTCCCGAGTAGAGTAGCTGGGATTACAGGCACCTGCCACGACACCCGGCTCATTTTTTTTTTTTTTTTTTTTTTTTTTTTAGGACAGACGGGGTTTCACCGTGTTAGCCAGGATGTTCTCGATCTCCTGATCTCATGATTCGCCCACCTCAGCAAGGGACTACATCATATTCTTCACTGTGAATTAAATAAACATAAATCCTTCCACAAATATTCAGAGTATTAATTTCCTGTTTTATTATAAAACCTATCTTTGGCTGGGTGCAATGCTTCATGCCTGTAATCTCGGCATTTTGGGAGGCCAAGGTGGGCGGTTCACGAGGTCAGGAGTTCAAGATCAGCCTGGCCAACATGGTGAAACCCCATCTCTACCAAAAATACAAAAATTAGCTGGACATGGTGGCAGGTCCTGTAATTCCAGCTACTCAAGAGGCTGAGGCAAGATAATTGCTTGAACCTGGGAGGGGGAGGTTGCAGTGAGCTGAAATCGTGCCACTGCACTCTAGCCTGGGTGACAGAGATAGACTCCACCTCAAAAAAAAAAAAAAAACAAACCTATCTTTACAAGCAGAAATGGCGGCATTATAGAAGGCACATTTTACTAGATCATTATTTTGAAATCACCATGTGAAAACCACCATGTGGAAAAATATTAAATCAATACATTTAATTAAAATGATTAACCTTTTTAAACAGCATCTTTTCATTAATTAAATTGAAAATTGTACATAAATGTTTATCACATAAAGGCACAATGTTAGACACTGCAAAAGATATCTTTCTGCAATAAACTGTTCCATTTATACAGTTTATAAAGAGTAAGGACAATAAAACATGCAGGAAGAGCAGTAATTGCAGAATGAAAAAGTGGCCTGTGAGGAATATGTACACACTAAGAATTTAAAAAGTCAGGTGTGGTTGCTCTGACGGAATCAGGAAAATAATCCTCATGCCAACGGCGAAGTTTAAACATACATACATATATATACATATATATATGTATATATATAAAAAATCCTCTTGCCAATGGTGAAGTTTAAACATACATACATACATATATATATACACACACGTGTGTGTGTGTGTTTGTGTATGTTTGACAGAATTTTGCTCTCATCCTCCAGGCTGGTGTACAATGGCGTGATCTCAGCTCAGTGCAACCTCCGCCTCCCAGGTTCAAGTAATTCTCCTGCCTCCCTTAGCCTCTTAAGTAGCTGGGATTACAGGCACCCGCCACCACGCCCAGCTAATTTTTTGTATTTTTAGTAGAGATGGGGTCTCAGCATGTTAGCCAGGCTGGTCTCGAGATCCTCACCTCATGATCCACCAACCTTGGCCTCCCAAAGTTCTGATATTACAGGTGTGAGCCATCATGCCCGGCCTTAAACCTATATTTTAAGGATACTTCTGAAGCAAAATATTCTGGAAACTCCATGTTTTTTACATGGTGAATTTCCATGTAAATTTACATGGTGAATTTTTACAGGTGAATTTCCAATTTTATTTCCATTATTGGCTTACTTGTGTTCCATGTTTCTGTTAAATTCTAGGATTCAATTCTCAGATAAACATTTCCCAAGTGTAAAACTTTACCTAGTTTTCCTAAGTCTTATAAGGGTATAATTAAGTCTTTAACTCCAGATGCATAGCTCGATTTCCTGTATTTTATGTTTACATTTCCAAATCCCTACTTGCTTTTTATTTTCTTAAATACTACCATTTCCATGTGAACTGTCACATCTTTATAGTAGTAACTGTGACCAACCTACATGAGTGTGTTTCTCTGCTTTTGTTTCTATATTTAAAGAGGGTGGGAGGACTAAATATTTTGTCTTTAAAATGTATTAAACACCTATGTGGCCCTGACTGTACCAGGCACTGCTTTCAACTGTTATGTAAACTTCATGGAATCTAGCCTGAGCTTGCCCCCTGCTGCCCTTCCCCTTGTGGGTACTGCCTTAACACGCCCTCTGCTCTCGGCTGTGGTCATCACCCAGCCAGGTGTCTCCATGCTCATTAATTTATTTCCAGGAAGGTACATGAAAGACATGAGCCCTGTATCATATATCTTTTTAACATTTTCATCGCAGTGTTGACCATCTTCCTTTGTTGTGTATCGTGTAACACAAATAATGATATTAAAAGCATAAAAAAAACTATTGCATCCACTTTACAGGTGAGAAAATTGAGGCATAGCGAAGTTATGGAAATTTCCTAATATCATGAGGTTCTGGCTCGGGCCGTCGGGTTCCCAGCTTGAGTTGTTCCCCATGTCGGGCGTCTCATGAGGCTCCTCCTTTCTCCTCTTCCATCTCACCCATAACTGCTCTCTCCCCTCCTTCTTCTTCGTGGCATCACATAAGACATTCTCTTCTACCCTGGCTGAGCAAAATGCACCGCGTCTTCCAAGGTAAATGCGACAACACCAGGAAGCCCTTCCTGATTAAATCACCCCAAATCAATCTCTCTCCCTTTGAGGTTCTCCTAACATTTTATTTCCTTATGATAGTGTTAATTATATCCTATCTTAAAAAGTTGTATCTTGTACATACTGCCCGCTTCATACTGGATTGTAAATTCACGGAATGCAAATAATTTATTGCATTTTTCCCTGCTATTGTGTTTGACATCATCGGAAGTTCAATGCACATTTTTACATCACTTTTAGGTGAAAAGATAGACAACGATTGTCCACCTCAGTCCTTATTCCAGTGCCTCACATGTAACAGACATGTGGTCATGGCTAGGTAAATCAATCCATGGAGCAAAGACTGCATATGAAACTAGTTTACATGACTACATTTTAAGGTAAACATTCAAATAATATTAACTGAAAATGAACGGTAGAAAGAATCTTTAGTCAAGGATACCATCTATGAACACAAATTTCTATTTTAGAATTTAGTTGACTTGTTGATAAAACTAATTTGGCAATGAAAAGAATGTTTCATATAAAATTAATAATAATTGGGCATTTCAAAATGTTTATTTCATGAAGAAAAAAGAACAAGACACATGCAGAGGAAGTAATGAATTATTTTAAGTTGAATATATACTACTTTAATTAAATCTTACTACCTCTCGATATACTGTACATTTTTAACTTATATGTTTAAGATATGACTCCAATTTTTATCTTTTTGAGCTTGGCAGATCTAGCAAGCAGTTGTTTTCTATTTTGAAAACTGTTTTTGAATATGAGATAATCTTATGTAGAAAAAGGGTTTGAGAAGCATGCATTATTTTAAATACATAACAGATTCATTTTAGCCAGCATTGTAAAAAATACTCAATATATCATTAAGACACATTTTAGAAGAGACTATATTTAGGAATTGATTCCTCAGTGTTAAAAGAAAGTTAGTGGAAAGGGGAGTTCATTTGAATCTGTCTATGCTCCCAGTTGGGGTCACATAAGCAGGTCGGTTTTAACAGCTTCCAGAGAATTCCCAGAGGGCCCTCACCTCAGACCAACAAGACCATCTTGGCAGACAATTGCCTATTGGCTATTGCTAGGCTCTGAGCAAATGAGTCAGGAAGCCTGGGAGGGCACAAAGCACTGACCCAAATCTCTGGACTCTTCTACCTCCTCCAGATCTGCTGTGAATTGTCCCCTACATCCACCATCAACTTGAGTCTCACAGTACAGTCAGGTCAAAGAAAGAGTTGGGGCTAAGGAAGCATTTGATGGAAGACAAACGACGATGGCTAAAATCTCAGTAGCCTACGATGATGAAATGAAACAGCATCGCAGAGAGAGAAGCAGTCATGGGACACTGCGTTCCGAGCCTCTTTTTTTTTTTTGGTTTGTTTTGTTTTTATTATCTGAACTGATGAGCTTTGTGAGTAGCACATGAGGAATAATCCTTCCCTGGCATGTCTGTAGTGAAAATTGACAGACATGAGGTTTGTCATATATCTGACACCCACTAAGCACTTAGAATTACTGTCAATAATAATAAAGGGCTGACCTAAAAAATGGTCCCGGACATGATCTTCCGGCTAAGATAAAACAGCTTGTTATCAGACCAAGTCTCCTGCAGAGCCAAATTAGAAAAGCGGGATAAAATATATTACAAGATAAACATAATTGTTTTGAGGACAAAGGAGAGATTATCAGGGCTGCAACAACTTGAGGAGCCAGAATAACGGAGAGAAAGAAAACACAGAGTGGTGAGCCCAATACAGATCCACTCTTTCCTCCAGGCACCAGGCAGGAAATGGAGAAACTAAGTCCTGTAGTCTCACAGGAGTGAGAGATCAGGAAGGAAGACAGTCTCTAGCAAGCTCCAAAGCCCACAGCTGAAGGTCACTGAAGGGCTACACATTAGCAAGGATGCACCTGGAAATGCACCAGCCCTCATAGTGAGAGGTGACAGCAGGCTGGCAGTCCTCCCAGCCCTCGCTCGCTCTCGGCGCCTCCTCTGCCTGGGCTCCCACTTTGGTGGCACTTGAGGAGCCCTTTGGCCCACCGCTGCACTGTGGGAGCCCTTTTCTGAGTTGGCCAAGGCCGGAGCCCACTCCCTCAGCTTGCGGGGAGGTGTGGAGGGAGAGGCGCGAGTGGGAACCAGGGCTGTGCGAGGCACTTGCGGGCCAGCTGGAGTTCCGGGTGGGCGTGGGCTTGGCTGGCCCCACACTCGGAGCAGCTGGCCGGCCCTGCCGGCCCTGAGCAATGAGGGACATAGCACCCGGGCCAGTGGCTGCGGACGGTGTACTGAATCCCCCAGCAGTGCCAGCCCACCGGCGCTGTGCTCGACTTCTCACCCGGCGTTAGCTGCCTTCCCGCGGGGCAGGGCTCAGGACCTGCAGCCCGCCGTGCCTGAGCCTCCCACCCACTCCATGGGCTCCTGTGCGGCCCAAGCCTCCCCAACGAGCACCATCCTCTGCTCCACGGCACCCAGTCCCATCCACCACCCAAGGGCTGAGGAATGCGGGCACACGGCACAGGGACTGGCAGGCAGCTCCACCTGCAGCCGTGGTGCGGGACCCACCGAGTGAAGCCAGCTGCGCTCCTGAGTCTGGTGGGGCCTTGGAGAACCTTTATGTGTCTTCCTCAGGGATTGTAAATACACCAATCGGCATTCTGTATCTAGCTCAAGGTTTGTAAACACACCAATCAGCACCCTGTGTCTAGCTCAGGGTTTGTGAGTGCACCAATCGACACTCTGTATCTAGCTGCTCTGATGGGGCCTTGGAGAACCTTTATGTCTAGCTCAGGGATTGTAAATACACCAATCGACACTCTGTATCTTGCTCAAGGTTTGTAAACACACCAATCAGCACCCTGTATTTACCTCAAGGTTTGTGAGTGCACCAATGGACACTGTATCTAGCTGCTCTGGTGGGGCCTTGGAGAACCTTTGTGTCCACACTCTGTATCTAACTAATCTGATGGGGTCGTGGAGAACCTTTGTATCTAGCTCAGGCATTGTAAACACACCAGTCAGCACCCTGTCAAAACAGACCACTGGGCTCTATCAATCAGCAGGATGTGGGTGGGGCCAGATAAGAGAATAAAAGCAGGCTGCCCCAGCCAGCAGTGGCAACCCACTCGTGTCCCCTTCCACACTGTGGAAGCTTTGTTCTTTCACTCTTTGCAATAAATCTTGCTGCTGCTCACTCTTTGGGTCCACACTGCTTTTATGAGCTGTAACACTCACCGCCAAAGTCTGCAGCTTCACTCCTGAAGCCAACGAGACCACAAGCCCACCGGGAGGGGAGGAACGAACAACTCCAGATGCGCCGCCTTAAGAGCTATAACACTCACTACGAAGGTCTGCAGTTTCACTCCTGAGCCAGCAAGACCACGAACCCACTAGAAGGAAGAAACTCTGAACACATCCGAACGTCAGAAGGAACAAACTCCAGACGCGCCACCTTAAGAACTGTAACACTCACTGCGACGGTCCGTGGCATCATTCTTGAAGCTAGTGAGACCAAGAACCCACCAATTCCGGACACATTTTGGCGACCACGAAGGGACTTTCACCTATCGCCAAGCAGTGAGACAATCGCCGAGTGGTGAGACCGTCGCCTATCGCCGAGTAGTGAGACAATCGCCAATCGCCAAGCAGTGAGTAGCATCAGACCCCTTTCGCTTGCTATTCTGTCCTATTTTTCATTAGAATTCGGGGGCTAAATACCGGGCACCTGTCGGCCAGTTAAAAGCGACTAGCGTGGCCGCCGGACTAAAGAAACGGGTGTCAGGCTTTCTGGGAAAGGGCTCTCTAACAACCCCCAACTCTTCGGAGTTGGGACCGTTGGTTTGCCTAGAACCAGCTTCCGCTTTTCCTGTACTTCTGGGCTGAGCCGAGGGTCTACAGAGAGGAAAGCCATGCAGCTCCGGGGTCCCAACAACATGTTGGTTGACCCTGTGGCCATGACCGGAACTCTCAAAAGCATGTCGCCCAAGCCAGACTTGCCCATCTATCCTATCTATCCTGACCCTTGCCCTCTGGGTCCTAATGCCGGCCAGACAAACTTCCTCTCACCTCTCCTCTCTGAGGTTAGGCCCGCTTCTAAAAATTGCTACCTGTCTCTGGTGCTTTTCTAGTTTCTCCTATAAGAAAACCAGCTTTTATTTAGATTGGATCAACTGTGGATTGCATTGGATTGGATTAAGCAGCTCAAATTTAGACTGGATTAAGGAGATCAGCCCCAGTCTAACTGCCTGCCAGAAACAAAATAAATGGTCTCTGGGGAAATCAAACCTCAACCAGACTCTCAAATTATTTGTACAATTTTTCATACAAAAGATTCTATATTTTAAAAAAATTACCCAGCATACCAGGAGAAAAGACCAAGTGATCAAAAACTGAGAAAAAAAAAAAAAGTACAATAGAAAGAGACTAACAGGAAGTGTAGATATTAAAGTTAGCAGAAGTTGCCTTTAAAATAACTGTGATTAATATGTTCAAAGAAATAAAGAGCACCATAAAGAACATCAGCAGAGAACTGCCATCTACAAAGACTGGAGTCACATGGAAATTCTGCAGTTGAAATAGGCAGTCCCAGAAATTAAAAATTAAGCTAATTAATAGCAGATTAGGCAAAGTTGAAAAGAGGATTAGAGAACTAGAAAAAAGGTTAATACACAATTTTTGAAAGAGGGATAACGAAACTAATAGTAAATGAAGAATGACTGTCACAAAACGTGGAATATGGGCAAAATAATAAATAACATTTCCTCATAAGGAGAAAAAAGAAACAATGGAATGAAAGAAGTATTTGAAGAGATAATGACAGATAATTTACTGTAACTGATTAGAGACTTTGAGCAGAAGTGAAAAGGTAGAATTCAGATGAAAGAAACCAAATTACAAAGAGAAAAATTTTAATCATAGAAAAAGGACTGGCAAAGAAGCAACAATAAAAGTTACAGAAGATTTTGCAATGGAAAAAAATTAAAGCCAGAGGTAATGAATGCTGTCTTTAAAGTGCTATAATAAAATGATGACCAACATAGAGCTCTATACAAAGTGAAACTATCCTATAGAAATTGAAGACATTTTAAGTTAAATTAAATCTGAGTAAATACTCTTTAGTCCTTTTCAGGTCGAATAAAAATTATATTAGATGAAAGCATGCAGGTAAAGATGGAATAAACAGCAATACAAAATGTAAGCTGATGGGAAAATTATATGTAACAATAAAATTATTGATTTGTGGGATTTAATATATTAGCAAAATAATTTGAAAATTAATTCAAACTTTTAATGACTATTTTCATCATTACCTTTTTCATTATTATGCGCATGTAATGGTTGTACGTATACATGGAGTACACATGATATTTTCACACAAGCATACAACGTGTAATGATGAGATCAGGGTAATTGGCTATCCATCTCCTCAAGCATTTGCCATTTCTTTGTGTTTAAAAACATGCCAATTCCACTCTTTTGGTTATTTTTAAATACATAATAAATTATTGTTAACTATGGTGACCCTATTACACTTCCAAGTACTAGTTCTTATTCATTCTGACTGTATTTTAGTACCCATCAGCCATTCCCAATTTTTCCCCAGGCAATTCCCATTGGCAGTGACTAATTGCTTGTGTAGAGATAGATTTCTCTCACAGAGTGTTGATTTTAAAGGTTACATAAACTGTTAAAGTCACAGACCAAACCTGTTACAGACTTAACCTGTTAAGCTCATGTTTCAAATTCATAACTGTGATATTTACTGGTTTAATGATAAAAATCACACCTAGTTCCTTCTGGATGAGCCACAGCTTGGCAATTTTCCAGGAAAAATCAATGTTTTTATGGACGTAACCTTTTTAGCATTTTTTTTGATGCTTTATTTTCTCTAGGACTTTTGGATAAACACTGTTCCCTCTCAGTAATTTATATCATAAAAACACAGCACTAAAATCCCTTTTTGTTTTATTCACATGTATATGAAATACCGCCACACCATATTCCTTAAAGCATCATGCCTGTGAGAGAGATCCTCCATGAATAGCTGTGCGGTTCCCCATGGCACTTTCTGTGCTCCTCCAGGATGATACTGGGCTGCAGCTGTTCTGCACACAGGTCTGCACGCACAGTAGGATCATGGCAGGTGTTCAACTTTTTCTATCCAGTATCTGGCATAGTATTTGATAAGAGTGCTTAACTTTGTTTGATGAATAAATAAATGAGAACTTGCATGCATGAATCTGTACTGTGTAAGAGAGGTTACATCTATATAAGAGCGCCTAAAAAGTTATAATAGAGATACCCATTAAAAATAAGTTTAGTTAATTTTGAATGAATGCTTTCATCTCTTTTAATCCATGAAACATTGCTTTTACTATTATATATGACAATATCCTACAGAGGCCAATAGATTAGGTGCGCTCTCTTCTTCCACATTGATTTTTCTGCCCATCGTGAGCCAACCAGCTTTTATGGCTTACTTGAAGGGTATGTAATTCCTTCAGTAAAAAATGAGTTTTCTCCACTTGTCTGTTGTTTTACACTGAAATGAGTACTGGGAACTGATGCATAGTTTGAAGAGCTTAATGTTCTTTTACTCACTTTCTCTGCAAAAATAATTACACAACTGTAAAACTGTGAGCTTTTCAAAGCATCAAGTTCTTGATATATATGTATATGTACATACATGTATATGTGGATATATATGTATATGTACATGTATATGTGGATATATATGTATATGTACATATATATGTATATGTAGATACATATGTATATGTACATATATGTATATATATATGCACACATGAATTTCTCCTTGTCCAAGTGTCTAACACCTAAGGAAATTTATTTTGATACAGAACCTTTCCTAGATGTGTAAAAGAAGAAATAAGCTTTACTTACAAATAATTGTACTCAGACTCATGATCACGATCTCATTTACTGAAGAGAACTATGTCTTATGAACTATGCCTTCACTAGGTACTGGTTAAGAGATTTTCTCCACTTATGACACTCTTCATAAAGTAAACATTAAGACTTTGCATTTATAGTAGATGCTAACACAAGCACTTTTCACATTATGAACTTGTGGGTACCATTTTGTTAAAACATTTTGCCTTTCCACAACTCTGTAACTATAAAAAATTATGAAATTTATTGAAATGTAAAAACTGTTGTCCCTTTAAAAACTGAAGTGTGAATACTTTTAAACTCACTTCCAGTGATAGAAGGAGATTGTGTGTAGACTTTAAAGTATACCCAGCAACATCAACTAGCTACTTTCCTGAATCGTGAATGCAGCACCATTTAAGCAAGCATAGGAAAAAGAAAACTAACAAAAGGAGCAAGGTAAAGCAAAATCTAATACATGTTCAGTATTCTAAAATGCCTCTGGCTTCCCTCTAGCTAGAGTGGATAATAATTTTTCAAAGACGGGCTTATTTTAAATGGCTAGTAAAATGATATCAAACATTTTCTTAGGCATATATTTAAATAGAGAAGAAATATATTGCTGGTGTTGATTACAACTCAATGGCCGTCAGAAGACAGTAACTTTTAGGATTCCATTAAATGCTGATACTAGCCAAAAAGAAAAAGGAAATAAAACATCAGACCACAGTTTCAAATACAGTATAGAGAGCACACACTGGCTATGCTATCTAGAGACAGAGATAAAGAACTATCTCATAAAGACAGAGATAAAGAACTATCTCTTCCTCTAGATAGTACAGCCAGTCTGTCCTCTCTGCACTGTATTTGAAACAGTGGTCTGATGTTTTCTTTCCTGTTTAAGAAACTCTACTCTGGCCGGGCATGGTGGCACATGCCTGTAATCCCAGCCCTTTCGGAGGCCGAGTCTGGCGGATCAGCAGATCGAGACCATCCTGGTTAACACGGTGAAACCCCATCCCTACTAAAAACACAAAAATTAGCCGGGCGTGGTGGCGGGCGCCTTTAGTCCCAGCTACTCAAGAGGCTGAGGCACAAGAATCGCTTGAACCCGGGAGGCAGAGGTTGCAGTAAGCCGAGATTGCACCACTGCACTCCAGCCTGGCGACAGAGCAAGACTCCGACACACACACACACACACACACACACAAAAGAAACTCTACTCTGTGCTTGATTCTGTTCACAGGCTGCTGCTCAAGCTTCCACTGACGCGAATGTGATGTGGCATTAAAAACACTCCAGGGTGCCCTTTCACTTGGAAAAAATATACATACACATATACATTGCCTTTAAGTATAGTAGAGCCAAGTACAATATACTATATATAATATACATTATATAAACACGTTATGTATACATTATACAACGTGTACTACATGCACATTATATAATGTGTAATAGTGTAAAAATAGAAAAATAAAAAATATGTTGTCCTTAGACTATCTTTAATTTGTAAATGTTTCAAAAAGAGAAACTAGAATTTTCATTGCTCTCAATGAGAAAAGAAAGAAAAGTGCAAAAAAGGGAATTGGATAGAGCCTTATCAGAGTTATGTAAAAGAACTACATTTTTCTATATTGGAAAATAAATCTAATTTTTATTTCTAAATTTGTGTTTTGCCTCTGCATATATTATGCCAATAAGAATGATGCCTCAGTGATCTTTAGCCATGTTTTTTCTGCCTAATTCAAAGTATTAACCATAATATCTCACTCTTCTCAGGGACTCTGAACCAAAAACCAATGATAGTAAGGAATAGACTATTTCTTTTTTACCAATACTAAGAATTAAAGGGTTAAGTTAAGTAAGACAAACTCTCTGCTGATCAGTGCCTGCGAGACAACAGTGAAAAACAAATCAGCACTCATTCCCCAGGTTAGGAAGTGCATAATATGTTAATGTCGACTCTATAATATGGGACTTGCTTGCATTATTAATTGCTAACTCATTACTCAAAAAGTGTTCATTCTACAATACTATTAGGCAAGTGTGTTTGCACTGTGAAGACCAAGCAAAAATAACCTCCGCAATTGTTGAATGGTACAATTAGAAACACATGATTTCTAAATTGCCATTATCACGGCCAAAAAAATGATAAAAATAATTAGTTGCCAACTTGGGAAAAAATATATATCTTTGCCATGTCAAAGAGTATCAAGAATACTTTGGCAGTTTCTGGAATGCAGCGTATTAATAATTTTCAGAATCTATCAGGAGCCTGATGCCACTGAGACCTGCCTTCTGACACCATAGAATATGTGGCTTTTGTCTAACCCACACACTGGACCTGGAAGTTCCTAGGTTACTAGGCTAAGCAAGTGCTTAAGATACTGTCTGTTCTAAAAGTCAAAATGGCTCCAAATGCTTGTCTATGCTTTTTAACAATATTACATTTATTTATTTTGTGGTGGTAACATGTATTTATGAAATCTTCAAAGTTATATAGGTTTATTTAGAATAACATGCAATTTTATTTGGTAAAGCAAGTGAATTTTGCTCAGAATTCTTTATGCTGTTTTTTTTTTCTTTTAGATGAGACCAGGATAACTCATCTGTGGTATGTGTTACAAGAGTAGTGTCTAGCGTCATACTTGAAAGTGGAGAGATGGTGACCATGGGGACAGAAAAGTTCTGGGAAGCAGACATGGACTACTGGATTTCCATGAAAACAAAAGTCACATCCAGAATACATTAAATTCTAAAACATACATGCTCAATCAACATGCGAAGATACTGAAAGGACTTTGGGCTTATTAATTTTATGTTATTCATCCCTAGCTGTTCAAAAGTACTCATTAAGATTGTTCTGGTATGTAGAATGTAAATAAAATTTATAGCTTTATTTCATATATTTGAAGCGCTAGCATAATACCTGGAATTATGACACCTCTCCCTATATGCTTTTAAAAATAAAAATATAAATTAGAAATATACTATTTAAAATAAAAATGTATACTGTTAATATATGTTGTTCAAAGTTGTTGACTTTTACAACATTATAAAGCTATATTCACGATGAAATCTTAAGAAAATGAGAAGCACTGAATAGATAGATTTTTTGTTGTTTGTTGCTTTTATGCTTTTGGTTTTCTTTTGCTTATCTGAGGACACTAGTAACTAAGATTTTGGAAATTTTTTTCCTAAAATAATTTTTAAACATTTCTTAATAAAAGGATATGGGACATAATTTGAGCTTCTCATAATGACTAATCTTTACTTGGCAGAACTCATCGTACACATTTCTGTGATACAACAATGCTCTCAGGCCTTCTGAGCTCTGCTGAGTTGGTGATTAAAACACACCTGGTTGCTGTCTTATTTTAGTCTTCATATCTCACCTGTGGCCTGCCTTCTTCCCTGCTGTCAATCAATTGCATGTTTCTCTGAAGCCTGTGTTCTTGTCTCCAACAGAAATTCCCAGGATCTGCTATTCTCTAAGGTTGTAAGCTATGCCATCAAAAGTATTGAGTTCTGAATGCATCATTTCTTCAGTTGTGTGTTGAGTGCTTACTGTTTACAACATATTATTAGGTATTGGCTGAGTAAAGATGAAGATGAAATAAGCAATGATCTCTAATATGAAGAACTCACAAACACCAGGAGGAAGAGCCAAATGTGAAGTACGAAGTCGAACAAAGACCCAGAGGAAGAAGTGAGTAATTCTTTCTGGTCTAGGTCAGACAAAATTCACAGACAAACTAGTTGGGCCACCTTGGATATATGAATACAACTATTCCAGGTGGAGAAGGGATGAAAGAAAAGCATTCCAAACAGAAATGAGCAAAGCTGTTGAGCAAAAGCAAATGAGCAGAGCTATCGAGCTGTAAACCTGCATGGTAGGTCCAGGGAAGTCACTGTGGTATAGCGTGATTACAGAGTGAAGGACACAGAGAGGACTGTAGTGCAGGCTTCTCTCTTGGGAGCAGATGCAAGCAGCTTTCCAAGGGTAGTGATGGCGGAACTGGGCCTTCAACTGTCAGCAGGAGAGGGCATAAGTATGTAGGTCAGTGTCAGATTGGAACAGGCCTGAATTTTAATATAAATATGCAATGAAAATTGCAGAGAAGGTTTTAAAGCAGTGAAGTGAGGGGATAGGATCTGTTTTGGAAATACTTAGCGTATTGAGGGGAATGTACTCAGCAATGAGGCAGTGGCTACAGAAAGACCGTCTAGGGGGCCTCTGGAACAAGGCAGAGGGGAGAAAGTAATGACCAAGGGACCGGTGGGGAGGCTGAAAGTTGGGCAGACATTCTGAGGGACTTCAGGAGATCGGAGGAAAGGCAGCTGCTAGTGCAAACGCCTAGATAGATGGAGATATTGGCAAAGGCAAAACAGGCTGCAGGTCATGCAATGCGGCCAGGATGGGACCAGTGAATTTCTTATGGACCATTGCATCTGAGGTACCGGAGGGACGTCTAACAGTAGGGACATGCTGGTAGATGTTTAACGAGCGGCTTTGCTGGCATAACGGATTCCTGATTTATAACATTTGCCAATTTCTGTGGCATAAATAATACTCTCAGGGTAGATTTCATGCTCCCAACAAGAATCTTCCTTTAATTGTGCCTCTTATTATCTTATCTAGTTGCAGTAACTAAAGTGTCCAGGAGGGTATTACAGAATAGTGAAAGTGGTATATTTACAGTGGTAATTGGAATGCTTTTAAATTATTCCATTAAATTGTCACAAATATTTTAAAAAATATACTCTTCCGTATTCATTTTCCTTGTTATCGCTTTGTTGTTTTTGAGGTGGAGTCTTACTCCATCTCCCAGGCTGGAGTGCAGTGGCATGACCTTGACTCACTGCAACCTCCACCTGCCAGGTTTAAGCGATTCTCCTGCCTCAGCTTCCTGAGTAGCTAGAACTACAGGGGCCGGCCACCACGCCCAGCTAATTTTTGTATTTTTAGTAGAGACAGAGTTTCACCATGTTGGCCAGGCTGGTCTCAAACTCCTGATCCCAAGTGATCCGCCTGTCTTGGCCTCCCAAAGTGCTAGGATTACCAGCGTGAGCCACTGTACCCGGCCTCTTTTCCTTATTTTTGATGACATTTATAAAGCTCAATCCAAAATGTGTGCTAAATTTTTATCTACGAATTTTAATATTTATACTTAGTTAAAATATTGTTTTCTAAAATCTACCAATACACGAAATATCCTGTTGTTTAATCATTGTAATACTATTGAAATGAATTTCCATATTTATTGATTTTTTCATTTGCTCCCAAATTCTATGTTAATATTTATTTAGAAGTTTCGAATCAGCATTTATTTATATGTGAGGTTTGCTGTAGTTTTCTTTCTATATGTGTTTTCTCAGGCTTTCCTGTGAAATTCATAAAACTATTTAGAAAATTTCTTATTGGTCTACATGCTGGAGGGGTTTGTAAATCACTGGTGTCATCTCATCCTGCGATATCTTGCATAATGCATCCGGGCCATTTCTTGGTCTCATTCCTTTCTTAGGGTGAATGGAGGATGCTGAGGTCTCAGCATTGAGAGGACCAGGCAGTCACTGAAGTGCATACAAATGGGCCCTACAGAATCTGCCTTTTGCTGCTGCTGAAAAGCAAGGTTAATGGAATTTCCGCAGGAACATGAGCGTTAATATGATTTCCCCATTTGTTCCCTCTCCTCTTTACGCATACATAGCAAATTAATTAAATACTTCTGCAGCATGGCTAAATCCTTGTTATTGTCATGATAAAAAATTAAGCATAATAATTTTAGTGCTAATTATGTATTTTTGGCATAATGTTTCATTCCAACTGAAATACCCTTAAGCACAGGAGAATGGCCATTTAGTGAAAGTGAAACATAAAAGAGAACGCTTTTAGAGTCTTGGATTATTTTTCAATTATAAATAGCCCATAAAGTGACTATTTGTAGCACTTAATATTTATATATAATCACACTTCATAATGAAAGTAGAAAATAACAAATGACAGAAATATTTTTATGATTTTTGTGATCCGGAGTCTTAAAGCTCTGAAAAGACCTTAGTTTAAAATTATTAGTTACTACTTCCATGTAATAAGCACCAATTGTATACCAGATCTCTTAATTTTTCCAACAATTCCTAGCTATATGCAACATCATTTCCATTTTGCAAAAAAGGTTAGCATGCTTAATAAAGTTAAAGAACTTTATCAAAAAGCTTCTAGAGAATGGAGCAGTTTGCTAAGATTGCCTGTAACAAAATACCACAAACAGACCAGCTTAAAGCAACAGGAATTTATTGTCTCACAGTTTTGAGGGCCAGGAGTCTGAAATCAAAATGTCAGGAGGATCACGTTCCCTCCAAACCCTGCCTGTGGAGGACCCTTCTTGTCTCTCCACACCTTCTGGAGGTTGTTGGGAATCTCTGGTGCTCCTTGGCTGGAAGAATCATCAGTCTCCTCCATCTTTACATGGCCTCTTCCTCATGTGCCTCTCTGTCTATGTGTCAAGTTTCCCCTTTTTATAAGGACACTGGTCATGTTGAATTAGGACCCACTCCAATTACCTCATTTTAACTTGATTAATTCTAAAGTGATCTTTTTTTTTTTTTTTTTTTTTTCTCTGAGACGGGGTCTTGCTCTGTTACCCAGGCTGGAGTGCAGTGGCGTGATCTCAGCT